>NC_000021.9:44083753-44237649 GCF_000001405.40 Homo sapiens | reverse complement strand
ACATTTGTGACAGCTTTCCTACTGCAAGTGAGCAGCAATATAATGTAATTGCTGAGAAATTCTTTTCCCTTAAATGCCTTTCCCTTAAAGAACTTTTTATTGTGCATTAATTATAGACTCCCGAGAAGTAGTAAAAGTAGTGCTGAGTAACAAAAATAACACTGAGCGGCCAGGCCCCATCCAGCCGCTCCTCCCCATGGCAGCCCCTTACATAACAGGAGTGTGTCATCGAAGCCAAAGACTGACATGGACCTCACCATGAAATGTCTGCGTTTTTCAAGTTTGACTGCATTCCTACATGTGCCTTGTTAATAAATTCTGAGCCACCGTTGGTGTTTGAGGCTTGAAACCCAAAGTCTGCCCCATAGAGTAGCTTCATGGCCTGGGCATCAGCCTCCGAAAACAGATTTTGCACCTTTTGGGCCATTGCAGATACTCAGGAGAAGGAAGTCAGAGCGATGGTAGGCAGCGACGTGGAGCTCAGCTGCGCTTGCCCTGAAGGAAGCCGTTTTGATTTAAATGATGTTTACGTATATTGGCAAACCAGTGAGTCGAAAACCGTGGTGACCTACCACATCCCACAGAACAGCTCCTTGGAAAACGTGGACAGCCGCTACCGGAACCGAGCCCTGATGTCACCGGCCGGCATGCTGCGGGGCGACTTCTCCCTGCGCTTGTTCAACGTCACCCCCCAGGACGAGCAGAAGTTTCACTGCCTGGTGTTGAGCCAATCCCTGGGATTCCAGGAGGTTTTGAGCGTTGAGGTTACACTGCATGTGGCAGGTAGGACCATCGAGGCGGGGAGAGCTAGGTCCATCCCAGCCTCACATCGTGGACAAGTGTTCATGAAACCCCCTCCCTGGCTCATTCACTGTTTCTTCCAGTGAAGAAAATTCTCATCTGTGTTATCAGGCTTCTGTCTAACTTCGAGGGAAACTAAACAGCTGAAAAATCCTTAGTGCATGACCTGCGGCTGCTTGGTTTCCCGGAAGAGCTCCTACCCTTGCTGTCTTTGCCTCTTGAGTTAGTTAGCTTTTGTTTTTGTTTTTGTTTTTTGAGACGGAGTCTCGCTCTGTCACCCAGGCTGCAGTGCAGTGGCACAATCTTGGCTCACCGCAACCCCCGCCTCCTGGGTTCAAGCAATTCTCCACAGCCTCCCGAGTAGCTGGGACTACAGGCGCGTGCCACCACACCCAGCTAATTTTTGTATTTTTAGTAGAGACAGGGTTTCACCATGTTGGCCAGGCTGGTCTCAAATTCCTGGCCTCGTGATCCGCCCGCCTCAGCCTCCCAAAGTGCTGGGATTACAGGTGTGAGCCACCGCGCCTGGCCAATTAGTTTGTTTTTTGAGACAGGGTCTCACTGTTGCCCAGGCTGGAGTGCAGTAGCGTGATCACGCTGCAGCCTTGACCTCCTGAGCTCAAGCAATTCTCCTGCTTCAGCCTCCTGAGTATCTGGGACTACAGGCACATGCCACCTCGCCTGGCTAATTTTGATTATTTGTAGAAATGGGGTCTCACTATGTTGCCCAGGCTGGTCTCAAACTCCTGGACACAAGCGATCCTCCTGCCTCACCCTCCCAAAGTGCTGTGATTACAGGCGTGAGCCACCACATCCAAACTAGAGTTTTAAAAGTGAAATTTGAAGGGAACTCTATAAAGCACTAAATGAGAACAAAATTTAAGAGAAAAATAAGAGGCAACCAAGGAGCTCTGGGCAGTTCATTGGGGAGAACAGCTGTGTCCATTTCAGATGGACTGTGAGCCCCTGTGTCAGCAGTGAGAATGACCAGATCCAAATGAGGGGGTCCCGGCACAGCCGACGGCTGTGGAGTGGGGGGTCTGTGGGTGCCAGTCACTGCCCGACAGGCTCAGCGGTCCCTGGCTACTGGGACTGGCTTGGGGGATGACTCTTGGGCAGGACAGGGCGGAGCCTGCTGCTCGGACCACAGCCCTGGTCCTGGCCTGTCACCCATGTCGGGGCACAATGGGCCGCCTCCCCTCTGACCCAGCCTTGGCACCGTGTACCCTCTGTTTCTTGACCAGCAGGGTCTGGCATCTCTCACAATCTGTTTCCCTCCCCTGCAGCAAACTTCAGCGTGCCCGTCGTCAGCGCCCCCCACAGCCCCTCCCAGGATGAGCTCACCTTCACGTGTACATCCATAAACGGCTACCCCAGGCCCAACGTGTACTGGATCAATAAGACGGACAACAGCCTGCTGGACCAGGCTCTGCAGAATGACACCGTCTTCTTGAACATGCGGGGCTTGTATGACGTGGTCAGCGTGCTGAGGATCGCACGGACCCCCAGCGTGAACATTGGCTGCTGCATAGAGAACGTGCTTCTGCAGCAGAACCTGACTGTCGGCAGCCAGACAGGTAAGGTCCCGGCGCCTGCGTGCTGAGCTGTGCCCGACAGTGGGGCCAGGGCTGGCTTGGGAGAGCCTCTGAGGTAGGAGACAAAAAGTCCCTTCGACGCGGCTCAGCACCCGAAAGGTGGTTGGAAGGGAGGGGAGGTGAGAGGCACATGCCGCACAGTGAGAACCACCGCGGTCTCTGGGAACAGGAATGGGTGCCGTGCCCAGTGCATATTGCTCCATTTTCTTCACCTGGAGTCGGTTTTCTTAAACCTACTTTACAGATGAGGGCTGAACTCTGAGGCTGGGTAACACTTCAGAAGCCGCAGCACTAGGCAGCAGCAGCCCAGAACAGAAGCCCACAGCTGTGCAGCCCCCACCCAAGCTCCCTGCCTCTTGGGCGTGTGTCCCCTGAGAAGACTGAAGCCCCCAGACACGGGAATCCCACTGCGCACGGCTGCTGGCCCAGCCCCTCCCTGTGGAAGGGGTGCCCTGTGGAAGGGGTTCCTCTACGGGGACTCCTTTGTAGAGGACACAGGCCCTCCCCATTTGTGTCCCCATCTCCTGTGTCAGGATGAGAGGCAGAAGATGGAGGCAGGAGATGATCGAGGAGGGGTCCTGGGGCCCTGCTGGCTGCAGGAAAGGGGCTGCCAGCAGGACTCACCGTGTGGCCCTGGGCAAAGCAAGAATGCAGGGCTCCTTGTTTCGGGAGCATTAAGAATTCCAGACAGTGACCACAAGCATTGCACCTCCTGCCGGCCTTTCTGAGCTCAACCCCAGAAGCCTGCACAGGTCATACCCTCGAAGTCCACCCTGGCCGCCAGGATCCCCGGCAGAGCCGGACCTTCTCCTTCTTGAAATCAGGGCTCAGCCCTTCTGACTCAACATTCAGAGTGTCTGAGCTGCATGCAGCGGGATGAGGGGCTGCTCCCAAAGCAGCCTCTGATAACTGCCTTCCAGCCAGCATACTCCCCGCAGAGCAGCCCAGGTGGCAGCAGAAGCTTCTCCCAGGGCTGTCGTCTCAACCCCGGCCACACAGTGGGGTCATCTGGGCAGCCTATGAAAGCCCCCATGCCCAGACCCATTGCACCTGAAGCTCTGGGCTGGCACCTGGCATCGGGACAGTGTCTAAAAGCTTCAGAGGTTCAAGGTTGAGCACCGTCCAGGTGGTTTCTCCAAGTGTGTTTGGAGACGCGCCGGGCATTCAGAACAAGCTCCCAGGGGGATGCCGCTGCTTGTTTGCCGGTGAGGACGGCTCTCTGAAGGGCACTGCACACAGAGACCAGAGGCATTGTTAGCTTTGTGCATCGTGGCGGAAAAGCAGAAGGGCGCAGCTGCCATGGGGAACGTTGTGGCAGTTCCTCGAAAAGCTCAGCGTGGAAGCACTGCAGGACCCAGCAGTTCTCTCCTAGCGATATAGGCCAGAGGATTCAGAACAGGGACTCAAACAAATGCCTGTCCGTGAATGTTCATGGCAGCCAGAAGGTAGGAACCACCCGAGTGTTCCTCGTGGGTGGACGGATGCACCAAACGTGATCCATGCGTGCAGGGGAGAATTAGCCTGAAAAAGGAAGGAGGCCGCTGTCCTGACGCACGCTGCGGCGTGGAGAACCTCAAGGCCATTATGCGAGTGACAGAGCCAGACACCTGAGGACAAGCCTGTGGGACTCTGTTTATGCAAAGTGTCCAGAATAGGGTGAGCCACTGAGACACAAAGCAACTGGAGGCTTCTGGTGCAGGAGGACAGCAATTCTCCTGCCTCAGCCTCCTGAGTATCTGGGACTACAGGCACATGCACCTCGCCTGGCTAATTTTGATTATTTGTAGCGATGGGGCCTCACTGTGTTGCCCAGGCTAGATTCAAGCTCCTGGACACAAGCGATGCTCCTGCCTAAGCCTCCCAAAGTGCTGAGATTACAGGTGTGAGCCACCACGTCCAAGCTAGAGTTTTAAAAGTGAAATTTGAAGGGAGTGCCATGAAGCACTAAATGAGAACAAAATTTAAGAGAAAAATTAGAGGCCCCAGCTGTTCTGAGACCCCCTCATTTGGATCTGCTCCTTCTTGCTGCTGACACGGGCTCACAGTCCATCTGAAATGGACACGACCATTCTCCCCGATGAACTGCCCAGAAAGACAGCAGACGGCAGGGAAGAGTGGGGAGTGACTGCTCATGGACACAAGGTTCCCTTTTGGGGGTTACAGGTCCTGGAATTAGGTGGTGGTTATGATGGCACTGGCACCCTGAATTGTTCACTTTAAAATGGTTCATTTTGGGCCGGGAGGGGTGGCTCACACCTGATCCTAGCACTTCGGGAGGCTGAGGTGGGTGGATCATCTGAGGTCAGGAATTTGAGACCAGCCTAGACAACATGGCGAAACCCCTTCTCTACTAAACATACAAAAATTAGCCAGGTGTGGTAGCATGTGCCTGTAATCCCAGCTACCCGGGAGGCTGAGGCAGGAGAATTGCTGGAACCTGGGAGGCGGAGGCTGCAGTGAGCCGAGACCGCACCACTACACTCCAGAGTGGGCGACAGAGGAAGACTGTGTCTCAAAAAAGTAAATAAATAAATAAAGCATAAAGTGGCTCATTTTGGCTGGGCAAGGTGGTGCACACCTATAGTTGCAGCTACTTAGGAGGCTGAGGCAAGAGGATCACTTGAGCCCTAAGACCAACCAGAGCAATATAGTGAGATCTCATCTCTACCAAAAAAAAAATTAGCCAGGCCTGGTGGTGCACGCCTGCAGTCCCGGCTACTTGGGAGGCCGAGGTGGGAGAACTGATTGAGCCCAGGAGGTCGAGGCTGCGGTGACCTATGATCACACCGCTGCACTTCAGCCTGGGCAACACAGCAAGACCCTGTCTCAAAAGCTCAATAAATAAAATGAAATGGTTAATTTTATGTTATGTGGCTTTCACCTTTTTTTTTTTTTTTTTTTTTTGAGACGGAATTTCACTCTTGTTGCCCAGGCTGGAGTACAATGGCACGATCTCGGCTCACCGCAACCTCTGCCTCCCGGGTTCAAGCAATTCTGCCTCAGCCTCCCGAGTAGCTGGGATTACAGGCATGCACCACCACACCTGGCTAATTTTGTATTTTTAGTAGAGACAAGGTTTCTGCATGTTGGCCAGGTGTGTCTCAAATTCCCAACCCCAGGTGATCCACCCGCCTTGGCCTCTCAAAGTGCTGGGATTACAGGCGTGAGCCACCGTGCCTGACCTCACTTTGATTTTTAAAAATCCAGTAAGGGCCGGACGCGGTGACTCATGCCTGTAATCCCAGCATTTTGGGAGGCCGAGGTGGGTGGATCACAAGGTCAGGAGATCGAGACCATCCTGGATAACATGGTGAAACTCCGTCTCTACTAAAAAAATACAAAAAATTAGCTAGGCATGGTGGTGGGCACCTGTAGTCCCAGCTACTCGGGAGGCTGAGGCAGGAGAATGGCGTGAACCCAGGAGGCAGAGCTTGCAGTGAGCCAAGATCACGCCACTGCACTCCAGCGTGGGCAACAGAGCAAGACTCTGCCTCAAAAAAAAAGAAAAAAAAAATCCAGTAAGAACCTGTGCTTCCCACCATACCCAGCCCTATGGTCCCCTGGCTGTGGTTGGGGTTATCGCCCCTCCCAGGTAGGACGAGGAGGAACAAGATCCCTGCAGGAAATGAAGCCCCTCTGTAAGAGAAAACCCTCATCTCATCAGTTTGGTGTTTTTAAAACCTCAAAATCATGTCAGGGAAGTTCTCTGGAATAAATACTTCCTTGCAACACTTTCTACTCAAGGATGAAAAAAAAGACCCTTTTCCTCTAAGATCCTTTAAGTCGGGTTATTTTCCTCTTTCTTGTAGGAAATGACATCGGAGAGAGAGACAAGATCACAGAGAATCCAGTCAGTACCGGCGAGAAAAACGCGGCCACGTGGAGCATCCTGGCTGTCCTGTGCCTGCTTGTGGTCGTGGCGGTGGCCATAGGCTGGGTGTGCAGGGACCGATGCCTCCAACACAGCTATGCAGGTAGAGACGGCCCCATATTGTGGATGTTAGTGTTTGTCCTGTTGGTGTGAATGTTTGCCTGCTTTAACTTCCCTCACTGATACTGATTTAGCTTGAAACTTTATTGTGGTAGGCTGGGCACGGTGGCTCACGCCTGTAATCCCAGCACTTTGGGAGGCCGAGGCGAGTGGATCACGAGATCAGGAGATCGAGACCATCCTGGCTAACACGGTGAAACCCCGTCTCTACTAAAAATACAAAAAATTAGCCGGGCGTGTGGCAGGCGCCTGTAGTCCCAGCTACTCATGAGGCTGAGGCAGGAGAATGGCGTGAACCCGGGAGGCGGGGCTTGCAGTGAGCCGAGATCACGCCACTACACTCCAGCCTGGGCGACAGAGCAAGACTCTGTCCCCCCCAAAAAAACAAAGGAACTTTGTTGTGGTAGCACTAATATTCATGAGGCTTAGCAACCCGAACTATCCCACAAAGTGGTTTTGAAACCCAGCATCTCTGACATTCCTGACACTGCCAAGCCAGAAGGGCGCTGCGAGGTCTGCCCTGCAGGTCGGGTGGGCAGGGTGGCTTCTGCATGTAGAGGCCGGGGTGGTGGTCATTTCCAGGGAAGCCGCTGAGGCTGCCTTGAGCACTCCTGCCCTGTGGGTCTGTGACTCTGGCCAGCTCCGCGACAGAGCCCGGAGGTCTGTGTTTCAGCCATGTAAGACACAGCAGCAGGACGCAGTGGCGCAGGAAGCCCTGAACGTTGGCTGCAGTGATGGTCCTGATGACGGGGGGGGCTCTTCCCAGAACCCCCCAAGGGTGGCAGTCAATGGAGTGCAGGCGCAGTGGCCACGGAGTAGGGGCGGCTCCTGTGGGCTGCCCCTGGCTTTCCCATTTGTGGCCAATCTCAGTCATCCCAGAAACATCTTCCACGGCCATGATGCCACTGCTGGCTGGGCCGCAGAAGGGCCCCAGATCCAGGTCACAGCATTTTAAGTGCTTCCCAGGCACGTACCCCTTTAAGAGGATCTTTCTCAAAAGCCACGTGGCCTGGGGAGCCCCTCATCTGTGAGTGTTTTCCCCGCCTGGAGCTGGGAGCCTTGGGGAGACTTCCAAGTAGGGTGTTTAGGGGGCTGCTGAGAGCTCAGGAACACCAGGGGCTTTAGGGACACCCCCCATCGCTGCTGCCCTGACCATTTTGGTTTGTCCTCCAGGTGCCTGGGCTGTGAGTCCGGAGACAGAGCTCACTGGTGAGTTTGCCGTGGGAAGCAGCAGGTTCTGGGGGGCCCAGGGGAGGCTTGGCTGCCAGCTGTCTTTCAGAGTTTCAAAAAACTTTCAAAAGGCAAAAGTCCCTTGCCTTGAACAACTGTTGTTCCTGGAGACGCAGCGAAGCCCTCGATGGTGCGCATGGCATTTCCTGCAGCCTCCCCTTGGCATGGGATGGCATCCTGGTGTGCACTTTGTCACACTGCGATGGGATTTTCCCAACATGCACAGAAGCAGAGAGACGAGTGCTAGACCCCCGCGCTCCCCAGTGCCCAGCCCCGACCAGGGTGTCCAGGGCGGGTCCAGGCACCGGCGCCCAGCCCCCATGGGGTGTCCGGAGTGGGTCCAGGCACCGGCGCCCAGCCCCCGTGGGGTGTCCAGGGCGGGTCCAGGCACCGGCGCCCAGCCCCTGTGGGGTGTCCGGAGTGGGTCCGGGCACCGCCAGCTTCTCTCTGTGGCAGCCACTCCTGCAGCTCTCGTTTGCCCCTCAGTTCCAGGAGCAACATAGATGTGGATTCCTGTCCAATTTGGGAAAAATGTCCACACACGGTCACCCACCTGGCAGGTGCCTCTGGCTGCAAGGGGCGCTGGGCTTCGCAGGCAGGCCAGCCGGGCTCCCCGCCATGGGCCAGGATCCCCTCCGAGCCCTGTTTGCCGCCCAGGAGAAGGGGTTCCCCGGGGACAGTGGGCTCAGGGTGTGCGCAGCCACCATGCTGTGGTGTCACCTGTGGACCCAGGCGAGCTGATGGCCGACCGCAGAAACGCACTTCCAAGGCCAGGTCGGCCCATCCAGATGATGCAGGAACACAGCTTGCTAAAAACACGGCCGGCCTGTTCCCGTCGGAGCCAGTCGAAGTTCCCTGAACAGGCCGCTGTTTCCGAAGCTTTAAACCCTGTGTTTCCACCAAGCTGAGTCCTGAGAAAACCGACGTCTGCCTGCAGAAGGGAAAGGGGTGCTTCATGTTCCTCTCTCTCCTTCATCTCCCTTCCAAGGCCACGTTTGACCGGAGCTCACCGCCCAGAGCGTGGACAGGGCTTCCGTGAGACGCCACCGTGAGAGGCCAGGTGGCAGCTTGAGCATGGACTCCCAGACTGCAGGGGAGCACTTGGGGCAGCCCCCAGAAGGACCACTGCTGGATCCCAGGGAGAACCTGCTGGCGTTGGCTGTGATCCTGGAATGAGGCCCTTTCAAAAGCGTCATCCACACCAAAGGCAAATGTCCCCAAGTGAGTGGGCTCCCCGCTGTCACTGCCAGTCACCCACAGGAAGGGACTGGTGATGGGCTGTCTCTACCCGGAGCGTGCGGGATTCAGCACCAGGCTCTTCCCAGTACCCCAGACCCACTGTGGGTCTTCCCGTGGGATGCGGGATCCTGAGACCGAAGGGTGTTTGGTTTAAAAAGAAGACTGGGCGTCCGCTCTTCCAGGACGGCCTCTGTGCTGCTGGGGTCACGCGAGGCTGTTTGCAGGGGACACGGTCACAGGAGCTCTTCTGCCCTGAACGCTCCCAACCTGCCTCCCGCCCGGAAGCCACAGGACCCACTCATGTGTGTGCCCACAAGTGTAGTTAGCCGTCCACACCGAGGAGCCCCCGGAAGTCCCCACTGGGCTTCAGTGTCCTCTGCCACATTCCCTGGGAGGAACAATGTCCCTCGGCTGTTCCGGTGAAAAGTTGAGCCACCTTTGGAAGACGCACGGGTGGAGTTTGCCAGAAGAAAGGCTGTGCCAGGGCCGTGTTTGGCTACAGGGGCTGCCGGGGCTCTTGGCTCTGCAGCGAGAAAGACACAGCCCAGCAGGGCTGGAGACGCCCATGTCCAGCAGGCGCAGGCCTGGCAACACGGTCCCCAGAGTCCTGAGCAGCAGTTAGGTGCATGGAGAGGGTATCACCTGGTGGCCACAGTCCCCCTTCTCACCTCAGCAATGATCCCCAAAGTGAGAGGTGGCTCCCCCGGCCCCCACCACCCTCAGCAGCCCCACCCCACTCAACCCTGAGGGTCCCCAGGGTCCTGATGAAGACCTCCGACCCCAGCGCCAGGCTCCTCGGAGCCCAACAGTCCCAAGGGGGCAGGAGACGGGGTGGTCCAGTGCTGAGGGGTACAGCCCTGGGCCCTGACCAGCCCCGGCACCTGCCATGCTGGTTCCCGGAATGAATCAGCTGCTGACTGTCTCCAGAAGGGCTGGAAAGGATGCTGCCAGGTGACCCGAGGTGCACTCGCCCCAGGGAGATGGAGTAGACAGCCTGGCCTGGCCCTCGGGACACATTGTCTGCCCCGGGGCTATGGGCAAATGCCCCTCCTTCTTACTTCCCAGAATCCCCTGACATTCCCAGGGTCAGCCAGGACCTGTTACAGCCCTGGTCACTTGGAACTGACAGCTGTGTGAGGCCTGCACTTCTCAGACCCAGACTTAGAACAAAAGGAGGAGTGAGGACTCAAGGCTACAATGAGGTTCCAGTACTTGTTACAAGAAATTGGTTTTCTGCAAAAAAAGTCCCTACCTGAGCCTTTAGGTGAATGTGGGATCCACTCCCGCTTTTAACATGAAAGCATTAGAAGATGTGTGGTGTTTATAAAAGAACAGTTGTCATCACCGGGCATTGATTGGCAGGGACAAGGAGCTGCTTGGGTGTGGAAAGTTGGGGCGTTGGAAAGTGGGCTGTGGTGCCCATTTGCAGTGACTGTGAAGTGACTCCAGGACGGACCTGCGGGGGCACCCAGAGGTCCTAAGCCCCAGGACTGAGGGTCGTGCATCACCACTCGGGTGTCCCGGGAGGTGCCCTGGGCCCGGGGACCTCACAGGCAGGACGGCGACACTAATGCAGGGAGAGGGAGTCTGGCCCCAGCTTTTCCTATCAGAGGCGATTTTCCTTCACCAGGGGATGGGCAGGAAAGAGGCAGGGGCCCCAGAAGCTTCTGTCCCTCATGCCTGAGGGCACGGGGGACACTTGGAGGCTGCTGTCACCACTGTGCGTCCAAGGCCATGCTCTCTGCGGGTCAGTGCCTGAGTCTCGCCTCCCTGCTGGTCCCTGAAGCCCCCTCAGAAGCCCTGCCTGTCACGTCGGCATTTGTGAGACCTACCCTGTAACGCCTGCCCCTCTCAGCCCAACATCAGCTTCCTCTTTCTCCCTTGCTGTAGACAGGCTGGATTCCAGTGTTGGGACAGCCATCTCCAGAAACCTGACTTAAGAGAGTAAGATGCAAATCGTGCCTGTATCCAGTGGCTTTGGTGGGTGCAGGGAGTCTTGGGCACAGCCAGCTCAGCTGTCTGTGGTATGAGCAGGAACAGGTGCCACTCCTGCTCAGGGGACCCTGCCCTACACCAGGCTGTTCCGTCCCCCTGGAGGACATGGGGCCAGGTCTGGAGGCATTTTGGGTTGTCACAGCTGGGGGCTGTTCCTCGGCTTCAGCGGGTGGAAGCCTCAGATGCTGTTCAACATCTTCTGGACACGGGAGGCCCCGACAGAGAGAAGCGTCCACCCGCAAGTCCACAGTCTGAGGTCTCCCCTCAGAGACCCTGCCCTGCACACCCACCTCCAGCCAAAGGTCCTGCCTGCCCCAGGGCTCAGGGGAACCTTGCCGGTCTGTGGAACAGGAGAGGGGACTCTCGCCAGCTGCACCACCCTGCACGTAGTAGGTGTGCGGTAAACATCCACCAGGGAGGCTCCAGTCAAGGCTGGCAGATGGGGCGGTCCATCCCTAGGGCAGGTGACAGAAGGGAAAAGGCTGCCTGCTGGCCCCCGAGCCAGGTAGCACATGCTTGTGCCTCAGTTTCCCCTCCTGTAAAGTGAGGCGCTGGATCCAGGTTCTGTCTACTGGGCTCTGCAGCTTGGACGCTCCTAAGACCAAGCGACCCACCCTGGGGAGGGCAGCTATGGCTTTGGAATAGCTGTCCAGGCCCGGGTGCCTCCAAGACGGCCACCACACCCTGCCTGTGCTGCAGGGGTGCAGGGGTAAGGGGCAAGACTCCAGAGGCCTCCTCTCTGCATCTCCTTGTCTTCAGTGGCCGGAGGTGAGGCCTGAGCTCAGGGGAGGGGCTTCTGCCACGAACCCTATGGCGGGGCACAGCACACTTTTCCCAGGGAGGACCCCTGGGCCCCCTGCATTATCCCCAGCGGAGTGTGGGGTCACCTTCCAAGAGCGACATTGAGAAGCTCCAGCTCTAGGAGTGTGCAGACTCTTAACCAGGCAGGCCCAGGCCCTGGGGCACACAAAGGCGGGGCCTGCTCTCCCCAGCTGCCCCTGCCAATGGGGGCTGGACTGTCCTACCCTCCTCCCTTCTACCTCCCCACTGTCTTCCCTCTCCACTGTCACCACTGCCTCCCTCTTCCACTGTCCTCCATGCACTGCCCTCCCTCCACCTTCCCCCACCCCCACCACTCCCCATGCTGTCCCCAGGCTCCCCCCGCTCTCCCCCCTCCCCACTGTCCCCCTCCCCATGCTGTACCCAGCTCACCCCGCTCTCCCCTCTCCCCACTGTCCCCCCTCCCACTCCCCATGCTGTCCCCAGCTCACCCTACATGGACTTGGCGATGTCCTTCCATGGCTCACCGGTCTGAATTTCCATGATGAGCCGGGCCTGCAGCTTTGCTCCCCTATCCCTGCCCAGGCTGCAGCTGTCCATGCAGGGAGCGAGCTCCAGCACCTGCGGAGTCCTTCCGTGGGGGCCTCTCCGTGCCACAGCAGCCAGGGACCTCAGGTGCCTGTGCATGACACCACCGCCCATCCTCATCCTGAGCCAGCCTCTCAGGATCAGGACTTGGTTTGGCGGCGTTAACCTTAGAGCCTGCAAGGGGCTTCCTCCTGGTGGGTCTGGCCGTAGCCTGGGGAGGCCACAGCTCCAGGCCACTCCAGACCTCCCTTCCTCTGGGCCTTCCATGTGGTGGCAACCACCGCAGCTGTAAGGGAGGGAAAATGGAGCGTTTGTTCTCGGGCTGGGCTGGGGTCTGGGGGAAGCCATGGGCGTGAAGACTGGAGTATTATTTGATGGAGAAGCGGCCACTCCTGGAGACCGGCGGCAAACACAGAAGCACAGCGTGGAAGGTGCTGGTGTCAGCCCACACGGGTGATGGGGTCAGACTCAGGAGTCACACTCAGGAGTCACCAGGCTCAAAGGGCCCAGGCACCGCAAGTCCTGCTCAGCCCCAGACACAATGCATTCCTGTTGCCCTCGCCCTCAGCCAGGCCCCACGCAGGCCAGGGAGCACTGGCAAAGCTTGGCAACCCTCTGGGGGCCAGCCTTCATCCAGGCCGAAGGTGGTCAGTGGCCCACCATGGCCCAGGTAGAAAACTCACGGATTAAGATTTCATGCCCGACTCCAAAGGCAAGAGACTTTATTATTTTATTTTTTTTGAGCCAGAGTATCGCTCTGTCACCTAGGCTGGAGTGCAATCTCTGCTCATTGCAACATCTGCCTCCCGAACTCAAGCAATTCTGCCTCAGCCTCCCAAGTAGCTGGGATTACAGGTGTGCGCCACCATGCCCAGGTAATTGTATTTTTAGTAGAGACAGGGTTTCACCATGTTGGTCAGGCTGGTTTCAAACTCCTGACCTCAAATGATCTGCCCACCTCGACCTCCCAAAGTGCTGGGATTACAGGTGCGAGCCACCGCACCTGGCTACCAGACACTTCAGAGTTACAGGTTAGTTTTTCTTTTTCTTTTATTTTTTTTTTTTTGGCGGAGGTGCAGGGGGAGTTAAACAAACAAACAAAATAAACAGGCCGGGTGCGGTGGCTCATGCCTGTAATCCCAGCACTTTAGGAGGCCTAGGTGGGTGGATCACGAGATCAGGGGTTCAAGACCAGCCTGGCCGAGATGGTAAAACCCCGTCTCCACTAAAAATACAAAAATTGGCCAGG
Organism: Homo sapiens; assembly: GCF_000001405.40. Classification (NCBI taxonomy): domain Eukaryota; kingdom Metazoa; phylum Chordata; class Mammalia; order Primates; family Hominidae; genus Homo; species Homo sapiens. The sequence goes on along the minus strand of NC_000021.9, from coordinate 44,224,181 downwards.
CACGGTGGCTCACACCTGTAATCCCAGTACTTTGGGAGGCTGAGGTGGGCAGATCACCTGAGGTCAGGAGTTCAAGACCAACCTGACCAACATGGAGAAACCCCATCTCTACTAAAAATACAAAATTAGCCAGGTGTGGTGGTGCATGCCTGTAATTCCAGCTACTCGGGAGGCTGAGGCAGGAGAATTGCTTGAACCCAGGAGGCAGAGGTTGCAGTGGGCCAAGATGGCGCCATTGCACTCCAGCCTGGGAACAAGAGCGAAACTCTGACTAAAAAAGAAAGAAAGAAAGAAAAAAATTAGTTGGGCACGGTGGCAGGCGCCTGTAATCCCAGGTACTCAGGAGGCTGAGGCAGGAGAATTGCTTGAACCCGGGAGGCAGAGGTCGCAGTGAGCCGAGATTGCACCACTGCCCTCCAGCCTGGGTGACAGAGCAAGACTCCGTCTCAAAAAAAAAAAAAAAAAAAATTGGATACATTGTAATACCTCAAATACTTGTAAGTGAAGCACCCCAGTTCCCATAGAGCTGCCGCACTCAGAGGCTTCTGTAACCTGCCTGCTCCCAGCATTCTATTTAGGGTCTGGTATGTCCAGAATTTGCAGACACAGCAATTCCTGCAGCAGCAGTGCACCATGTGGAAGGGGCCCCATGACCAGCCCACTGTGAGCTCACACGTGATGACTGAGGCTTCTTCACACAGCAGGGCTCTGGGTGTGATACCCAGGGCACACGCGTTTGCACAGGCACAGGCCACACAAGTTCTCACATGCTCAGCCCCATAAGCCGTGCTGGACAGGCATGGCCATTTACACCCAGGATCCTGCTGAGAACAGCAACCAACTCACCACCCTCGCATCATGATCCTTGCCACACAGGGGCTCTGGTGGCTTTGGTGGCCTGGGCTGTGGCTCTGCTGCCAGCCACCTTGAGTGAAGATCCGGGTTCTCTGGGTGCTACTCAGCTGCTATGTGGGGAGCTGGCCCCTGGGGTGATGAGGGCCCTTCCCAACCCGCCCTCAGCCCTTGGACAGCCAGGATCACCCGGGGCTGTCTGCATACAGACTTCTCAGGGGAGTTCTCAGCTTGGACCCTTATCTCCCCAGAATCCTGGAACCTGCTCCTTCTGCTCTCGTGACTGACTGTGTTCTCTATGCAACTTCCAATAAAACCTCTTCATTTGAAAGGAAAAAAGTCTGCATTATCTGTTTAGGAAGGGAGAGAGTTCATATTGCAATCTTTTTTTTTTTAATAAAAATAATCTCAGCCTGGGCAACATGGTGAGACCCCATCTCTGTAAAACATTTTTAAAAAATTAGCCGGGTATGGTGGCGCACACTTGTAGTCCCAGCTACTCAGGAGGCTGAAGCGGGAGGATCCATTGAACCTGAGAAGTCGAAGCTGCAGTGAGCTGTGATTGTGCCACTGTACTCCAGCCTGGACAACAGAGTGAGACGCCGTCTCAAATAAATAAATACATAAATAAAGGACTCTGAAGCCTTATTACCATGGTTCACTCTAAGTATTTTTGCTCTGAGGTGTGCTTCCATACATAACTTTCATTATGCCCATTAGGGTCCATAACTATAAAAATCCACAATTAAGTCATATTTTATATGCTAATTTGTCAGCCCGCCATGGTGGCTCACGCCTATAATCCCAGCACTTTGGGAAGCCAAGACGGGAGGATCGCTTGAGTGTAGGCGTTTGAGACCAGCTTGGGCAACATTGTGAAACCCTCTCTCTACAAAAAATACAAAAATTAGCTGGTTGTGGCGGCATGTGCCTGTAATCCCAGCTACTCAGGAAGCTAAGGTGGGAGGATCAGCTGAGCCCAGGGGTGTCGAGGCTGCAGTGAGCCATGGTTGTGCCACTGCACTCCAGCCTCGGTGACAGAGCAAGGCCCTATCTCTAAATAAATAAATAAATAAATAAAAATTAAAAACAGGCCGGTGCGGTGGCTCACGCCTGTAATCCCAGTGCTTTGGGAGGCCGAGGCGGGCAGATCACGGGGTCAGGAGATCGAGACCATCCTGGCTAACACGGTGAAACCCCATCTCTACTAAAAATACAAAAAATTAGCCGGGCGTGGTGGCGGGCGCCTGTAGTTCCAGCTACTCAGGAGGCTGAGGCAAGAGAATGGTGTGAACCTGGGAGGCGGAGCTTGCAGTGAGCCGAGATGGCACCACTGTACTCCAGCCTGGGTGACAGAGCGAGACTCCGTCTAAAAAAAAAAAAAAAAAAAAATTAAAAATAATTTGTCAATTGGCTGGGTGCGGTCCTGTAATCCTAGCACTTTGGGAGGCCGAGGTGGGCGGATCACCTGAGGTCAGGAGTTTGAGACTAGCCTGGGCAATATGGTGAAGCCCTATCTATACTAAAAATACAAAAGTTAACCAGGTGTGGTGGCGGGCGCCTGTAATCCAAGCTACTCAGGAGGCTGAGGCAGGAGAATTGCTTAAAACCGGGAGACAAAGGTTGCAATGAGCTGAGATCACGCCACTGCACTCCAGCCTGGGTGAGAGAGGGAGACTCCATCTCAACAACAACAAAAAAGTCAAGATAACATTTTTCTTAGGTATTCCCCTAATTTAGGTATTTAGAAATAATACCCTATGGTTGGATAAATCCAGATAATTACCAGATAGAGATTGGATATTGTCGAACATTATTGTTCAAATAATCTTTCATTTCTGCCAAGAAATCCTTTTGAGTAATTTGTGTTTGATCGAATTGCTTTTAACCAAATCATCTGTATTTTTTTCTTCTTTTACACATTACCCATATCCCTTTTTCCTGAACCCAGAATTCAATCACTTTGACCCTCTCTGCCTCTCATTCTCCCAAGCCACCCACAGGTGACAATCTTCACTTTAATTTGTCCTCTGCAGGGATCGAAATGGGAAAAACCCGGCCAGGTAAGCAGGCAGGGAGGACAGGCTGGAGTCGGGTGTGGGGAGTCAGCCACTGAGGTCAGGAGCCCTGCAGGCAGCAAGCCACCCGGGCTTAGGAGGGATGGTTTAGAAAGTATCAACAAAGGCTGGAAACAGTGGCTCACGCCTGTAATTCCAGCACTTTGGGAGGCTGAGGCAGGTGGATCATCTGAGGTCAGGCGTTCAAGACCAGCCTGGCCAACATGGCGAAACCCCATCTCTACAAAACTACAAAAAAGTTAGCCAGGCATGATGGTGGGTGCCTGTCATCCCAGCTACTCGGGAGGCTGAGGCAGGAGAATCATGGTGGCTGCTGAGGCAGCAGAACAAGGCTGTTCTGCTCTGCGGTTTGTGGGTTTGACACTCGTGGCCCAGGAGGCGGAGGTTGCAGCGCAGTGCAGTGGCCGAGATCGCGCCACGAGCCTGGGCAACAGAGCAAGACTCCATCTGAAAAAAAAAAAAGTATCAACGATGAAATTATCGACGATGGGGTAACCCCGGGAACCTCTCTGCCTCCACCGTGAAGAAGCATCAAGCAGAACCCGGCTGTGTGCAAGGGAGTCACATGCCTTCGGAAGAGCCCAGGTCTGGGCACAGCTGCCTGCTCAGACCAGAGGGAGGCCTGCCATGCCCCAGGAAGGCACTGGCTTGGAGTTTTTCTTCATTGTGAAGAATCACGATGACGAATTAGAATCAGTGAGTTTGGCACGAATGAGGTGCTTCCTCCAGGACGTTGCTGGAGGGCGCTGCTATAGCTGGCATCCCGGCCTGGAGGCACTTCCCCTCTCATTCTTCTCAGGAGTCAGTCCTGACTGAGACCTGCTCCCAGGGCAGGACTCTGGGCTTCAGGAGCGTGGTCCTGAGCCGCAGGGACATGGTGGCTGGTCTGCAACAGGCTTCCCATCCCGTGGACATGTGGACACTCCAGAGCCCTGGAATTTCAGCAACATCAGCCAACGGCCACAGGGACAACCACAGTAAAGCCAGCCTGCCAGCAGAAAAGTAACAGACTGAGCTAAAATCACCTCTGGAACTTCCTGTCTACCTGGACACCTGTCTACAGGGCCTGAGAGAGGAACTGACACTTTCTCCTCCAGCAGAGCCATGTCAGGAAGGAGCCTCTCCGGCAAAGGCTGCCCAGGCCCACCCGGACTCCACTCAGAGCCTGAGCCCTTGGTTCCCGTGAAGCTCTGAGGGCAGGTTGGCAGCCACAACACTGGGCCAGGACCCAAGATGGGGCAGGCCAGGCCCTCCACCAAGGGCCCAGACCCTCTATGCAAATGCAGGCCATGCCTGTGTGCAGCCAGGGGCCCCTGGGAGAATGCAGTGAGGAAGGGCAGGTGGATGTGCTTGGACTGAGACAGAAAGCTCCAGGGTGACGCTTGCCATGAGCGTGGGCACGACCCTCCTCCTCTTCCTCCTCCTCCTCCTCCTCTTCCTCCTCCTCCTCCTCTTCCTCCTCCTCCTCTTTCTTTTCCTTCTCTTCCAGGCACTTCCCCTGCAGCTGCAGTGGGAGGTGTTTCCAGATGCTGGAATGTGCTCCTGGGGCAGCAGCTCCCTGCCTGCTGGAGTCTCCTGGGCTCCTCTGCTGGGCTGTGCACACAGCACTGATCTTAGGGCACAGCCGGTGGGGAGGCCACACAGGGGAATCCTCCTGTGGCACTGGGGATAAAGGTCCTGTCTTCCAGCCGGGGGCAACTCCATCCAGTGTGGCCTAAGGCAAAACTTGGAATCCATGTTGACTGATTTTTGAGATGGTGTTTTGCGAACAGTAAAGGGATAGGCAAAGTTCTTGTTGTAAGCCACTCAGGCACCCTCCTGACAGAAGCCTGGGGATTCCGGAGGTAAAAGCTGTAAGGTTGGGAGTGGACCCTGGAGCCCACTCCCCCGACCCCCGACCCTCAATGAGGTTCTTTAGAAGACTGTGCCCTGGGGCTGCCCACACAGCCAGGCACTCTAGGGCCTGGGAAGACACTGCTCTCCCGTGCATGTCGGGGACACAGGCTTTCGTCCTCAGCAGTTGTGCAGGTCAGGTGGGGACTCAGGGAAGGCAGCCGGGCTGGGTGAGAGCTTAGACAGAGACAATGACCAGCCACAAGATGCAGTTAAACAAATACACAAACCTGCTTTCCAATGGTTTACAATGGATTCTGAACAGCCCGGGGCCCCAGAACAGCTAGATTCCTCACTCCTCTCCATTCTCAGGCCAACCTGTGGTCTCATTTTATAAAAAAGAGATTGGGCTGGTTTACTCAGCCAAGAAACATCGAAGAGATGGTACCTAAAACCAAGGGCTTTGGATCATCTGTCTGGCCCAGGGCGTCCCACCTCCCTGCCTCTGACAGGACTTCCCACCTCCCCGCCTCTGACTTCAGTTGGGAAGAGGATGGTGGCGGGAGATGGAGGATGAGGCCCTCCTCATCTGCTTGGCCAAGGCTGTTCTGCTCTGCGGTTTGTGGGTTTGACACTCGTGGCCTTGAAAGCAAGCCTCCCGGCCCAGCCTCCATCTTCCTGACAGTAGTGCTGCCTGTGAGTATTTGCATGGCACGGCAAAGTCACAGCTCAGCAGACACTCCTGATAACACTCTTAACAACACCATGCACAGGGGAGGGTGAGCACACTGCCCTTCTGGAGACCAGGAAACTCCCCGAAGCCTCAGGGTGATTGACCTGCCCCTGCCACGCCCCTAATAGCTCCATCTTCTCACTCCACCTTCCTGCCTCTTTCTGAGTCGTGGTTCCAGGTGCCTGCCTGCCCTGGGTGAGTGAAGCCACCAGTACACACCCAGTCACATTAGAACTGCCCAGTTCCATCCCAGGCCAGTGTAAACCAAAAATAAAACCCGAAGTCCCCAGCCAACTGAAGTGACCCCCGCTTGGCCATGTCCACCCCAGAGAAGCCTGAAAAACCTCCTCCTGGGTGGTCGCACAGGCCTCGTTATGTCACCGAGCAGCTCAGCTTCGAACTGTGTTTTAACACGGCCTTTCTTTCCTCCTTTCTCCCCAGTCTCAAGACATGGCTTTGAGCAAACTACAGATGTGCTTCCTTTCATCTTGAAATCCAGCCTGGGAGCAAGCTGTGAGCCTACTGCCTTCCCTCTCCCACCTGCAGCTCCCGGGCCCTGTGCACATTTGTTTATCTGGATGCTTGCTGAGTGCACACCATGCTCACCTGTCTGGTCATCTATTTCCTAGAAGCTTTGGGGGCCAGATCCTGGGACGAACCAGGCATCTCCAGAATTCCTTCCCCAGCAGGCGGGTTACTTTGAGGCCAGAGCTTACTCCTGGCTAAAGACTCACTGCAAGATTGACTGTGATTGATTTCTAATCTGGGGGCGACCCGCGATGGCGCAGCCCCTTCACCAGATGTGTTTGTGGTGGAAGTTATCCAAGTGACACGGCACCAAAACCTGTGATCGGTGGCAAATCCGTACAGGTCTGCGGCAGCCGCAATTCTCACCTCCTCAGAAGAAAGAATTCGACCAAGGGGCAGAAGGCAGAAGAAGAGACCGAGACAAGTTTTAGAGCAGGAGTGACATTTATTAAAAAGCTTTAGAGCAGGAATGAAAGGAAGGAAAGGACGCTTGGAAGGGGGCCAAGCAGGTGACTTGAAGGACAGGTGTGTGGTTTGACCTTCGACTTGGGGTTTTATATGTTGGCACGCTTCCGGGGTCTGGCCTGCCTTCTCCCCTGATTCTTCCCTTGGGGTGGGCTGTCCACATGTGCAGTGGCTGCCAGCCCTTGGGAGGAGCACGCGCTATGTGTTTACTGGAGTTGCGCGCCTGCTTACCTGAGGCGTTGTTCCCTTACCTGTCAAATGTCCCTAGGAGGCCATAGACCAGTTACACTCCACAATTTTGCCTTTTAATACACATGCTTGAGCCCACTCACCCAATGCCTGAGGTCTTATGGGGAAGGATTTTTCTGTCTGTTGGGAGGCTGCCTTTCCCTGGCGTTGGCTGTGACCAATTATTATTTTAGAGAGACAGTTAACAGCCACCCGACCAACACTGATGGTCGCCTGACATTCCTGGTTGGGAGGGCCCTCTCCTGCCCTGCTCATGTCTGACCAGCTGCCTACTGTAACAGATGGAACAATAACTCAAGAGAAGCCATCAGAGCAGGTCACCTGGCACCTCCTGGCCCCTGCCTCGCCTGCATTCCAGACCCCCTCTACACGTCCCTCTACAAATTGAAGAGTGGCCATTTTTGGAAAGGATTCCGGCCAATCTCCCCCTTGCTAGCATGAGAATGAAGCTCACGCTCTTTCTTTTTTCTTTCTTTTCTTTTTTTTTTTGAGACGGAGTCTCGCTCTGTCACCCCGGCTGGAGTGTAGTGGCGTGATCTCGGCTCACTGCAAGCTCCGCCTCCCGGGTTCACACCATTCTTCTGCCTCAGCCTCCTGAGTAGCTGGGACTACAGGCGCCCGCCACCGCGCCCGGCTAATTTTTTGTATTTTTAGTAGAGACGGGGTTTCACCGTGTTAGCCAGGATGGTGTCGATCTCCTGACATCGTGATCTGCCCGCCTCGGCCTCCCAAAGTGCTGGGATTACAGGTGTGAGCCACCGCGCCCGGCAGCTCACTCTCTTTCTATCACGCCCCACTCTTGTCATCGTGGCTTCTTTTTAAGCGGTGAGCAGCCAGACCTTTGCTGGTTACAGCCACAACCCTCCCTTTCAGAGTTGAGGCACAGCTGGCCAGTCCTGACATTAAAATCAGGATCCTAAGACGGATGGAACACACTCTATGTGGCAATAAGACACCAAATTCCAGCCTGACTCTGGTATAGCATCACGTGACGGATAGCAGACTCTGAAGGAAATGAGAATATTTTGCCTTAAAATATATTTCTTTGACATATTTTGAAAGGGTCCCACAGAACCATCCTTTCTCAGAGAAACTAGCACCCATAGAGAATCTCCACGAATGCAGCCAGGACTTCCTCTTCTAGTACTTTCCAGACCTAGGAGAGATTAACTGAGGGCCTGACACCTTTAAGGTCTGAAAAGGGACATTTGCCATCTATTCTCTCTGAGGGCTGCAATCTACAAGGCTTCATCTGCAAACCAAGGGCCTCGGCCCCCACACCCCTCATCTTAATTCCAGCCTTCCTTCCAGCTGACTTCACCTCTGTAGACAAAGCTTCACGCTTTCAATCAACCGTCAACTAAAGAATCGCAGAACCAGCCGGTGCAGTGGCTGATGCCTGTAATCCTAACACTTTGGGAGGCCGAGGTGGGCGGATCACTTGAGGTCAGGAGGTCAAGACCAGCCTGGCCAACATGGTGAAACCCCGTCTCTACTAAAAATACAAAAATTCACCAGGCATGGTGGTGGGCGCCTGTAATCCCAGCTACTTGGGAGGCTGAAGCACGAGAATCACTTGAACCCAGGAGGCAGAGGTTGCAGTGAGCTGAGATCGCACCACTGCACTCCAGCCTGGGCGACAGAGTGAGACACAGTCTCAAAAAAAAAAAAAAAAAAGAATCGTGGAACCTACCTATGACCTGTAAACCCTGCTCCAAGATCTCCTGCCTTTCAGGCCAAATCAGTGTGCACCTTCCACATTCTGATTTATGTCTTGGCCTGTAACTTGTGTCTTCCTGAAATGAGTAAAACCAAACTGTAACCCGGCCGCCTCGGGGCCACTCAGTCAAGCTGTAACCCGGCCGCCTCGGGGCCACTCAGTCAAGCTGTAACCCGGCCGCCTCGGGGCCACTCACTCAGGCTGTAACCCGGCCGCCTCGGGGCCACTCAGTCAAGCTGTAACCCGGCCGCCTCGGGGCGACTCACTCAAGGCTTCCTGGGTTTGCTTCTCTCCAGGCCACAGTCACATGTACAGGCTCAGAATAAACCTCTGTAAAATGTTCTAGAGTCTGTTTTTTCCCATTAACAGCAGTTACGGAAGGGTTGTTTTACCACAAAGGGATCCCAATCCAGACCCCAAGACGGTACTTGGACCTCCTTCCAGAAAGAATTTGGGACGATTTTATAAAGTGAAAGCAAGTTTATTAAGAAAGTAAAGGAATAAGAAAAATGGCCACTCCATAGGCAGAGCAGAAGTATGGGCTACTGGTTGGCTATTTTTACGGTTATTTATTGATTATATGCTAAACAAGGGGTAAATTATTCATGAGCTTTCCGGGAAAGGGGTGGGCAATTCCTGAAACTGAGGGTTCCTCCTTTATTTGTTTTTTGTTTATTTATTTTTTGAGACAGGTCTCACTTTGTCACCCAGGCTGGAGTGCAGCGATGTGATTTCGGCTCATTGCAACCTCCGAATCCCGGGTTCAAAAGATTCTCATGTCTCAGCCTCCCAAGTAGTTGGGATTACAGATGTGCACCACCACACCTGGTTAATTTTTGTATTTTTAGTAGAGATAGGGTTTTTGCCATGTTGACCAGGCTGGTCTCCAAACTCCTGGTCTCAAGTGACCTGCCCATCTCAGCCTCTCAAAGTGTTGGGATTACAGGCGTGAGCCACTGCATCTGGCCATCCTCCCCTTTTTAGACAATATAGGGTAACTTCCTGATGTTGCCATGGCATTTATAAACTGTCGTGGTGCTGGTGAGAGTGTCTCTTAGCATGCTAATACATTATAATCAGCGTATAAAGAGCAGCCACATGGTGAAACCCTGTCTCCTCTACTAAAATACAAAAAATTAGCCAGGCATGGAGGCGTGTGCCTGTAATCCCAGCTACTCGGGAGGCTGAGGCAGGGGAATTGCTAGAACCCAGGAGGCGGAGGTTGCAGTGAGCTGATATCACACCACTGCACTCCAGCCTGGGTGACAGAGCGAGACTAGGTCTCAAAAAAAAAAAAAAAAAAGGCAAGGCGAGGTGACTCACGCCTGTAATCCCAGCACTTTGGGAGGCCGAGGCGGGCGGATCACAAGGTCAGGAGATCAAGACCATCCTGACTAAGACAGTGAAACCCTGTCTCTACTAAAAATACAAAAAAATTAGCCGGGCGTGGTGGCGGGCGCCTGTAGTCCCAGCTACTCAGGAGGCTGAGGCAGGAGAATGGCGTGAACCCGGGAGGCAAAGCTTGCAGTGAGCCGAGATCACGCCGCTGCACTCCAGCCTGGGTGACAGAGCAAGTCTCCGTCTCAATGTTAAAAAAAAAAGGAGCAGTGAGGACGACCAGAGGTCAGTCTTGTCACCATCTTGGTTTTGGTGGGTTTTACCCAGCTTCTTTACCACAACGTGCTTTATTAGTGAGATCTGTGTGACCCGTACCTTGTGCCGACCTCCTGTCTCATCCTGTGACTTAGAATGCCTGACACCCTGGGAATACAGCCCAGTAGGTCTCAGCCTCATTCTACCCAGTGCCTATTTAAGATGGAGTCACTCTGGTTCAAATACCTCTGACAGTGGGGTGGGACCCAGGTACATCTAACATGCAGCCAGCTTATACTCACTCAGAAGAACCATTGTGCTGTGCAAATGGCAGGCCAAAGGAAGTGACCAACAGTTACCTCACGGGAGCAGTCTTATGGCGACAGACAGGGTCCCACCGTGATTTTACTGAAAGGAGCCAGAGGCCCAGGGGGATGGGATGGTCTGGCCAGGGGTTGTGATCCATGGCAATAGCCACGTTGGCCACCACCAGAATGGGTGAGGGGAGACAATCTGGGAAGCCAGGGAGGAAAACGCGGGGTATGCTCACCCCTGGGGCCAACGCTGCACTTGCTGGAGCATGAGGGTCTTCCCCAGGCCTCACCTTGGTGCAGCCCTGCCCAGGTCCCCAGGTGTGGAAACCATTACTAAATATTCAAGAATTTTGCAGCTAGTTGAGAACTAGCTGGAAGCTTACAAATGGCCACAGCAGGAGTATGGAGCATTTACACGACAGAAACTGTGAACTCTAAAATCAGGGCTGCGCTTGGGGTGTGTTTTGTTTGGAACACCTGCTTAGCCGCACCTACCACTCCTTGCTCTCCCATGGCCAGCCCTGAGCCCACAACCTTCTCCAAATTATTTATTTATTTATTTATTGAGACGGAGTCTCGCTCTGTCGCCCAGGCTGAAGTGCACTGGCGTGATCTCGGCTCACAGCAACCTCCGCCTCACGGGTTCAAGTAATTGACCTGCCTCAGCCTCCCGAGTAGCTGGGACTACAGATGCATGCCACCACGCCCAGCTAATTTTTGTATTTTTGGTAGAGACAGGATTTCACTATGTTGGCCAGGCTGGTCTTGAATTCCTGACCTCAGGTGATCCGCCTGCCTTGGCCTCCCAAAGTGCTGGGATTACAGGTGTGAGCCACCACGCCCAGCCCAAATTATTTATTTATTTGGATTTTTGCATTTCCTGTTGAGAAGTTCCACGCTGACAAATGCTGTTTTGTCCAAAAAATCCTCAGGACAAATTGGCCAAGGGCATTTTCCTTAAATAACAATCCTTTATGTGGGGCCCATGGTTTATTTGCAAAATCCATGAATGAATTGTCAGTGTCTTTCTTAGTGACTGTTGGATGACTGTTTTCCAAAGGCCCCACCCACCCTGGACACAGACCCCCATGTCAGCCTCAGCTTCCCCGAGCAGCTGGCCTCACTCCCGGGCTGTCCCCAGGGAAGCCCCCAGAGAGGTGTGTTATATTTTCAAGAAAAGGCCCTCAGCTCCTGAACATGTAACTTTTCTGAATTCAATGACAGTGACTCCTTTTGATAAAGGGAATTTCCGTTCGTTTGTTTTAAAAAAAAATTTTTTAACGGTCTCTATTTTTAACACTCTCAGCTGAAGCCCCAAGGTTGGCTTCATGAGGCCCAGGGTCCAGGACATCTCCTTTCCCATGAAACTGTTCTGCTGAAGCACCTGGGGGGTGGGGGGGCTTTGTATTCATTCATTCATCCCACATTCACTCACTCATTCATCCCACATTCACTCACTCATTCATTCATCCCACATTCACTCATTCATTCATCCCAAATCACACATTCATTCATTCATCCCACATTCACTCACTCATTCATCCCACATTCACCCACTCATTCATTCATCTCACATTCAGTCATTCCTTCAACACACATTCCCTCATTCATCACACAGTCACTCGTTCATTCAGCCCACATTCACTCACTCATTAATTCATCCCACATTCACTCACTCATTCATTCGTCCCACATTCACTCACCCATTCATTTCAGTCACTCACTCATTCATTCATCCCACATTCACTCAACCATTCAGCTCAGTCACTCACTCATTCATTCATCCCACATTCACTCACTCATTCATCCAAAATTCACTCATTCATTCATTCATCCCACATTCACGCACCCATTCATCCCACATTCACCCACCCACTCATCCATTCATCTCACATTCACTCACTCATCCATCCCACATTCACTCACTCATTCTTTCGGCCCACATTCACTCACTCATTCATCCCACATTCACTCAGCCCACATTCACTTACTCACACATTCATCACACATTCACTCACTCATTCGTCCCACATTCACTCAGCCCACATTCTCTCACTCACACATTCATCACACATTCACTAGCTCATTCATTCATCCCATATTCACTCACTTTTCACTCATCCCACATTCATTCACAGGCATCCATCCATCCATTCCACATTCATGTGTCCCTGACAGATGTCAGGTGTCAGGTGGTGGGACCTGTTCCAGGAATTGGAGACAGAGGGCAAGCCATGCAGAAGGCAGGTAAACCAGACAGTGTTGGAGTGACCTGGGCTCTGGGAGAGAATCAAACAGGGGACTTATCAAACTGTGAGTGTTAGGGAGGCTTCTGAGGAGGTGACATTTGTCAAACCTATGACCTTGTGTCCTGTATCCTTCCATCCATTCATCCCTCCCTCCCTCCTTCCCTTCATCTATCCATCCATCCCTCCATCCATCCATCCCTCATCTCTCCATCCATCCATCCTTCCCTCCTGTCCATCCCTCCCTCCCTCCCTCCATCCATCCATCCCTCCCTCCCATCCACCCCCTCCCTCCCTCCATCCATCCCTAGCTCCCTACCTCCATCCATCCATCCCTCCATCCATCCATCCATTCCTCCTTCCCTACCTCCATCCATCCATCCCTCCCTCCCTACCTCCATCCATCCATCCCTCCATCCATCCATCCATTCCTCCCTCCCTACCTCCATCCATCCATCCCTCCCTCCATCCATCCATTCCTCCCTCCCTCCATCCTTCTATCCCTCCATCCTTCCCTTCCATCCATCCATTCCTCCATCCCTCCATCCATCCCTCCCTCCATTCTTCCCTCCCGTCCATCCTTCCCTACCTCTTGTCCATCCCTCCCTCTCTCCCTCCCTCCATTCATCCATTCCTCCCTCCCTTCATCCATCCATCCCTCCTCCTTCCATCCTTCCATCTATCCATCCCTCCCACCCACCCATCCCTCCCTCCGTCATCCCTCCCTCCATCCCTCCATCCCTCCATTCCTGTATCCCTCCCTCCTTCCCTCCATTCATCCATCCAGCCAGCCAACCATCTATCCTTTTGTTTGCTCCTGTCCTGGGTGCCGGGAATGTGTGGCCTGCAGTATTTACACCCCTTGCTGTGGCACCATGCCTAGCTGGAGAGACAGACACATGTAAGTCACCAGTCATCTCCCCAAGGGGTGGGCCTGGGGCTGACGGAGAAACCCAGAATGTTCTTCCACAGTAGGTGGGGAATGCCAGCTGAGCAGGGGACTCAAGAGAGAGGTTGGGGGAGCAGGGCCTCTCCATGCAGAAATCTTACCCATGGTGGGTAGGAACTTCCAAAGGTGAAGGACAGTGGGCTTCTCTTCAGGTTGATGGATTACTTTTTAAAATCATAACATAAGTCAGGCATGGTGGCTCATGCCTGTAGTCCCAGCTACTCAGGAGGCAGAGGCAGGAGGATCACTTGAGCCCAGGAGTTTGAGAGCAGCCTGAGCAATATAGCAAGACATGTCTTTAAAATAAAATAAAATAATAACATCAAGTTGTCCCTCGGTATCCTTTGAGGATTAGTCCCAGGACCCCTGCAGATACTGAAGTCCCCAGAATAAAATGGCGCAGTGTCTGCCTAGCACCTGTGCCCACCCTCCCGCACATCTTCCTGCATCCTGCAAACCATTGCTAGATCACTTATCAGACCTAACACAACACAATGCTCTGTCAATAGCTATACTGTATTTTTTATTTGTGTTCTTTTTTATTGCTGTATTGTTCTTTTTTTCATTTTTCTTTTTCAAATATTTTGCATCTGGCTTGGTTGCCTCCAGGGATGTGGAACCCTTGGGTCTGGAGGGACAGCTGGTCTCTCAATTGGTGAAAATATTCCCTTAACCTGGAGAATACTTTTGCCACTTTTGCTCAGTCTGCTCCTGGATCCGGTCTGTGTCATTTTGCCCGGATCCTGGGCCCGCTCCCAAGGAGGGCTCCCCCAGCTGCAGGGGTGAGGGCCTGTGCTGTGTGGGCGCATGGCTTATCTGCCAGCGACCCATGATTGTTCCCTGGGGCTCTGCCACCCCCAGCTGACTCCTCTACACAGCTCCTGATGCCTTGGGCAGGCCATGTTGGGGGGGTGTATCCCAGAAAGGCATTGTGTGGGGTGCTGGTATCGCTAGGGGCCTGGGGTCCCCGGTCCCCTCTGTGACTTTCATGAGCAGAATGGAGGTACCCAGTCTCTCCTCATGTCACCACACCCCGCTATCAGGAAGGGACAGGGTCTCAGGTTCCTAGTGTTCCCAGGACCTGCCTGCCGGAGGGCTGCAGCTGAACTGCTGTTAGCGTGGGTGGCTCTGAATCAATGGCCCATTTTTCTGTGCAGTGTGTTGGGGGCAGCCTGAGCCTCTCACTCAGGTTGAACAGGAGCTTGGGGAACCCTCTTCCAGACCCTGAAGGGGTCCTGCTCTGTGTCCTGACCAACACTCATAGGGTCTGCTCTGTGGTCCTGACCTCACTCAGGCCCTGCTCTATAGCAAAGAAGCAAGCTAGACCTTTCTCCTTTGATGTGGAGACGGGAAAAAACAAGTTTTAGAATAACATGCCCAGAATGACCCCAACTAGGAACAATCGACTGTAGGACTGGGAGGATTTGAACATGTGCAAGCAAAAGGAGGCACCAGAGGGCTGTTCAGATGGATAACTGTGCAGGTGGGCATCCGTGCGGGTGGGCATCCATGCAGGTGGACATTCACGCAGGTAGGCCTTTGTACAGGTGGGCATCCGTGCAGGTGGGCATCTGTGCAGGTGGGTATTCGTGCATGTGGACACAGGTGGGCATTCATGCAGGTGGACATCTGTGCAGGCGGACATTTTTGCAGGTGGGCATTTGTGTGGGTGGGCTTCTGTGCAGGTGGGCATTTGTGCCAGTGGACACGGGTGCAGGTGGGCATTTGTGCCAGTGGACATGGGTGCAGGTGGGCTTTCAGGCAAGTGGGTATTCATGCAGGTAGGCATCTGTGCAGGTGGATATCAGTGCAGATGGGCATTTGCATGTGGACATCTGTACAGGTGGACATTGGTACAAGTGGGCACTCATGCAGGTGGGCACTCATGCAGGTGGGCATCTGTGCAGGTGGACATCCATTAGCTGTCACCCTTCTACCCACCATCCACATCCTGAGGATCCAGGGCCTCCTTCCTTGCAATATGTCCCCCACTGTCACCTCAACAGGTAAGGCAGGTCCTTACCACCTGCCTCTGCCTGCCCTCCAGGTCAGCCTCCCAAGGTTGGGCCTTCTTCTTGCCTCAGACTCACTTGCTTTGCAGCAGTGTGGCTATGTTATGGGCCCACATCCGAAATCCACACAGCCCACACCACCTGCAGGACAAGGGCAGCCAGTTAAGCTTGTACAGTCAGTCAGGGCTCACTGCTCCCTCCCTGGCCCTCCCTTGCCCTCTGAGAGGCCCTTTTCTTACCCACCCAGGTGTCCATCCACCTGCCCTGGGGTCCCCTCCCCTCCTGTACCCTTGCAGCTCCCATGAGCCTCAGCCCCCTCCAAGCCCGTCTCCCTAGCAAAACCTTCCCTGAGACTCTAGCCCTTCCCTTTCTGCTGTGATAGGATCTTACCACATCTGCAGAAGATTTAGTGCCTCCCGGCCCTGAGGCCCCGATGAATCACCCAGGCCTGGGTTCTTCCTGCGGACGGAAGACACTGACGGAGGCTGCGGGGCCTGCTTCCCTGAGAACTTGCACATTGACATCCTCCTCCTTGGTGGCTCCTTCCAAACACAACAAACGTGCAGGCCCAGAAGGACAGGCAGGATGGCGATGTGGGGGCAGGGAGGGCTGAGAGCAGCTGCCCCCAGGGAGGGAGAGGGCCAGAGAGAGTGACCGGAGGGACACAGACATGGACACGTCCCCACCATCGCCGGGGCTGGAAAGGAACAACCCAAAATGTCTCTGGACTTTGTCGAGTATCCCCTGGGGTTTCAAATGGCCTGGGGGTGAGAAGCTCTGGTCCAGGCAAAGTTGTGTCCCTGGACAATGACTGTGTCCAAATCATACCCCCCGCCCGGGGTCTGAGTCATCCAGTCGTGCCACGGTGGTGGCTCTTCTGCATGTGGACCAGAGACACCTGTTTTCCCTGATGCCCAAGACAGTGTTAGCGATGAACAAATGAATGAACAAACGCTGCAGAGGGGAGGCCTCCCTCAGCCTGGGGCTGCTTGCCCACCTTCCCCGTGTGTCCTCCTGCCCCCAGCCCTGGAGGGAGCCCACAGTCTCACTTCGGAAAACCCCTCCAGAAAGCCCGGGACAGAGCAGGTGTGTGGTTCAGCTCGAGGAGGAAACCGGAAGCGGCCATGAACCCACGCCTGGGCAGCCACCTGGAAACGTGGTCAGATGTGACCTCTTCACAGACTCGGGGGTGCTGGGCTCTGAGCAGAAGCGGCCGGGTGGTCCTCCTGGGTGCCTCAGGGGCCCGGGGAGCATGGGTCAGGGCGAGTGGCTGCTCCCTGGCCTCAGGTTATCTGGGTGCCCGGTGAGTGAGGCATGGCAGGCGATACCGGACCCCACCCACCGCGTATACCTCTGGAATAGCGATTGCCATGATTGATGTCAGTAGCCTGGGCTGGGAGCCTGCAGGTGGGTGTGAGGGGGTGGAAGGAGCTGGTGTGAGAGGAAGTAGGGCAAGCGGGGGCTGGGAACTGGTTTGGGAACAACCGCAGCCTGGTCAGCAGGACCCACAGGGCCTGGACAGGGGCTGGAGCTGACCGCTGGCTGACCGGCTTTGCTGCAGCCACGTTCCTGCAGGGGACACAGACCCACCCACATTAGAAAAGTGACCCCTGCACCCCCAGTCAGCCTCCCGGAACGGCTGTCACCACTGTTTCCTGATTCGCTGGTGCATGTCTCCCCCACGGGGCACACATGCGTGGCCTTAGGCCTGAACAGAGCTGCTCACAGCACCCACTTCCCTTTCGGTTTTAAAGCTGCTGTGCCCGGGGGAGGGAAGCCTTCCCCCAATGGGTGTTCTTATTTATTTTCTTAATCACAGGTAATCAGAACTGCGAAGATGATTGGGTCACAGCCAGGAGACTGATTTTGTATCCAGAAGTTTCTGTTTCACAATCACTAAACTACTCATGCTCAAAGATTAGTGTCAACAAGAAATAAACAGACTCTGATACCGATATAAAATGAACGCGCGTTCAAGATTTCCTTCAACTCATTGTTAGCGCAGAAACCGGTAAGATGTGCCAGCCAGGTCAAAGGAGAAGTGACAAAGGCACCTGTGTACGCGGAGTAAAGGGATACAGGTACGCTTCACATACGAGGACTGGCTCTCCCACGGACGGGCGGGCGGTGGGAACTCGTGGGCAGCCGCGGGCAGAGCCCATCTGCATGCTGTCCAGGCAGTCCAGACTGTCCAGGCTGCTGCAACAGAGGACCACAGGCGGGGCCTAGAAACCGCAGATGTTTGTCCTCGCACATTTCTGGAGGCCAGAGTCCAGCATCAAGGCGTCGGCAGGACTGGCTCCTTCTGGGAACTCGGAGAGAATCCGGTCCAGCCTCAGCCCCTTCTGGCACAGCCGGCAGCCCTGGTGTCCCCCGATCAAGGCCGCGGTGCTCCAGTCTCCGACTCCGTCCTCCTGTGGTTTGCCTCTGCGGACCCCAAATCTCCCTCTCGTTCCTTCCACACGGGTGCTAGTGTCGGATTCAGGGTCCATCTGCATAACCCAGGATGACCTCGTCTCAAGAGCCTTAATTTGTCTGGGCACGGTGACTCACGCCTGCAATCCCAGCACTTTGGGAGGCCAAGGCAGGCAGGTTGCCTGAGGTCAGGAGTTTAAGACCAGCCTGGCCAGCATAGTGAAACCCCATCTCTACTAAAAATACAAAAATTAGCTGGGTGTGGTGGTGGGTGCCTGTAATCCCAGCTACTTGGGAGGCTGAGGCAGGAGAATTGCTTGAACCCAGGAGGCAGAGGTTGCAGTGAGCCGAGATCGTGCCACTGCACTCCAGCCTGGGCAACAAGAGTGAGACTCCGCCTAAAAAAAAAAAAATAAAACAAAAAACAAAACAAAAAAACAAAAAAAAAGCCTTAATCTAATGACGCATCTACAAACACCCTATTTCCAAATAAGCTCAACCCCATAGGCATGAGGGTCGGGACTTACACATAGCTTTTGGGGGCCACTGTCAACCCACTACACGTGGCTATAAGCAAGAGTTATCTGCATTGCTCTCTGTTATCTGTAATGTACAGATTGGAAAATCGCTCAAAGGCAGCGCGAGGCTAAAATCAGAAAACCCAGAAGGGAGATGGCTCCCACTGCAGGCACCCAGTCCTCCTTCAGGCTCGGCTGCGTGTTCCAGACATGCTCACACTCACTTCTCAGGGTCATTCCAAGGCTCCCAGAATGGCCGCTGTGTTTTTTTGTTTTTTTTTTTTTTGAGACGGAGTCTTGGTCTGTCGCCCAGGCTGGAGTGCAGTGGTGCGGTCTCGGCTCCCTGCAACCTCCACCCCTGCAGGTTTAAGCAATTCTCTGCCTCAGCCTCCGGAGTAGCTGGGATTACAGGCACAGGCCACCACGCCGGCTAATTTTTTTGTATTTTTAGTAGAGACAGGGTTTCACCATCTTGGCCAGGCTGGTCTTGAACTCCTGACCTCATGATCCACCCACCTTGGCCTCCCAAAGTGCTGGGATTACAGGCGTGAGCCGCCTGGCCCGCTGTATCTTTTTACGCCCACCCGTCCCTGGGGGCTGCAGGCACAGGCCCTGGGGGCCTGGTCAGTGCTGTTTGGGCAGGGGGAATCCTGGACCTGGAAAGGGGAGGGGTCTGGAGCACAGAGGAGCCAGGTGAGGGAGGCCTCCAGGTGCAGGCAGGGTGGAGCCTGGGATGGAGTGATGCAAGAGCCCGCTCCACTCCGCCAGCACCCAACAGCTCTTCCCTTTCTCTCCCAGGCCTCCTGCCTTCCCTCTTCCCTGGTCTTCCCTTCAACACCAAGACTGCAGGCATCACCCCCACCCTAAGAGCCCAAGCAACCACCGACGCCCCATCCCCTTCCCCTCCCCCTATCCCCTCCCCTCTCCCCCTCGGTCCCTTTTTCCCATGGGCGCTGGAGCTTGCAGGGCAGCTGTACCCGTGGCTCCCTCTCCAAATGCTCCCCTAACGCACGCCCTTCTCACTTCCATCGGGCTCTGCTCAGAGAGACCTACCAATGTCCAGCACCCATGGCCGCAATACTGCGTGAGCTGAGACCCCCCTGCAGCCATCCCCATCTGCACCACAGGTACTCAGCAGACAATGGCTGCAGGTGGGCGAGGGCACCCTCACCATCCACCTCAAGTGCAGACCTGCCAGCCTCACGCTCAGCCCTTGGGCCTGGCTGGGGAAGTGTCTAGGGCACAGATCCTGGCACAGGGCAGGCCCCTCCTCCACATTTCACAGATGGCAGATGAATGAGGAGGAGGGGAAGGAGGGGGTGAGCAGCCCATTGCCAAAAGCCCGTGGGAAATAGGGATCCTGGGGGAGATCCTGGCTCACGGAGATCAGAGGGGCGGGGCCACCAAGGAAGGGTGTGGGGGGGAGGCAGCTGCTGCTCATGGAAGGCAGCCGGATGGAGGTAGCGGGGTCAGGCAGAACAGGCCTGAAGAGAGGGGCATAGGGTAGGGACATCAAAGGAAGAGGCAGCGGTTGCCCTGGCCAGGGCCCACAGCAGGTGCGGGCATGGCTCTGGGCTGGCTCACCTGGCCCCCCCGACACCCTCCCTGCAGAGCCCCCGCCCACAGCTGCTCCACAGGGGGTACCAGTGGGTGTCAACCCCTGGCAGCGGGGACACCAGGCCTCTCTGAGCTGATATGGGGGGTGCAGGGGCAGCCCTGGAGTCCCAGCGGGCTGTGCCCTCTGTCCTGGCCTCATCCCTGTGAAACTGCCTTTGCAAAAATTGTAACAGCCATTATTCCGGAGGTCACACAATTTGCAACTTCCCCAATTACTCCTGAGGATGAATCACTATTGTAGACGCTAAGATCGGCCTTTTGAGGTGTCTTTTCAGGTTTTTGCATTTCTGACAATGATGGCTCCACCTGGATTTGGACACACCAACCCCCCTGCCCGCCACAAACGGGTCCTGTGGCCCCACCCAGAAGCAGACTCCCTGGCCTGCCAAACTATCCTTGAAAAACCCGAGCCTGAGAATTTTGGGGGAGATGATTGATTTGAGTAATAACTCCGTCTCTTGGGGGAGATTGATTTGAGTAATAACTCCATCTCCCACGTGGCATGGCCAGCCTGGTGTCTATTAAACTCTTTATAGCAATGCCTTGGGCCCAGTGAAGAGGTTTTGTCTGTGCAGGGGCAGGAAGAGCCCATCAGGCGGTTACACCTGGAGGCCCAGCCCTGAGCCTCCCGCCTTCTCCAGCGTCTGCAGAAGCTGACCCAGAGCCTCTGCTTCGGGATTCCTGGGCTGTGGTCAGGGTGGGTCTGGGGACTCCCGTGCTGCGGGGCTCCTGGTCTGCTCCCCAGAGGCTGTGGGCAGAAGCTGAGACCTCTGAAGAAATCCTAGGGATTTTCAGGAAACCAGTGCATGTTTTCTCTTCTCTAACCATGCACAGGGGACACAGAAAGCCCCAAAGATCGGGGCCACTGCGATTCGTTTTCCAGAGAAGGACGCTCCGAGTTTGCACTCTGACCGCACTGATGGGGCCCTGTTCCTCCGGTGTCCATGGCTCCCAGCAAAGCAGACCAGCACCGCCCCCACGCACACCTAGGCCCAGCCCAGCCCCAACACCGGCTGCCGAGCTCACCATGATGAGGGCTAATGGCTCTGGGCATCGGCCTGCAAGCATTTACTGAGCACCTACTGTATGCTCAGTGCCCACAGGCCGAGAGGCAACGAAGACAAAGTCTCTGTCCTTAGTTCAGGGAAGCCACTCCCAGGCAGGGTTCTAGGAAAGAAAGAGCCCCGGGCTGCATCCGCACTTCTCTGGGCTCCAACAGGATGTGGTTGCATCATCTCCTGGAGGAACGGATTTGCCTTGAAACGCAGGAGGCAGAGCGGGCCTGGGAGAAGGAGGTTGTTTCCACGCCTTCCTGGGGGAGAGGCTGGTGCAGTCGTGAGAGTCAACCGGGAGCTCGGAGGAGGAGCAGACAGGACGTGGGAGAGCTCGGGAGAGACCCAGGCTGGGCGTCTTGCAGCTCAGACCCTTGGCCACCCAAGCAGCGTAGCCGGCATCACAGCCCACGGCGTGAGGCCACCAAGACAGACAGAGGAGGTGAGGGGGACCCGGACTGGGCCAGCCACACGTGGAGGTCGTGGAGGAAGCAGGCATCTATGCGGAATCTCGGCCGCCCAGTCTGCCTTGTCCACAGAGAGGTGCCTGTCCGCTGCTTCGAGCGTGTGCCGACGTCTCCCGAATGTGTCCCCTTTCTCTTCTTCCTTGGGATTTCCTAACGTCTGACGATCCCAGCTTGCGTTGGCCCCCTGTGCTGTGGCCCCACGACGTTTTGTCCAGCTTGATCAGAGCAGAAAGGGGACCTGGTGGGCAGCCCAAGGGGCAGGAAACTTCCGGGTGGATTCCAGCACAGCCCCAGCCCTGCCGGGGTCTTCATGCCAAACCCCTGGTCGGCCAGGCTTGAAGCTGGGCTGTGGAGCCACAGTCCTGGCCTACAGGCAGGTGCTTAAGTCACTCAGGCCACTATGACACAGTTCCACAGCCTGGGCAGCCTACATAACAGACATGTACCTCTCACAGTTCCAGAGGCTGGACGTCCACAGTGAGACACTGTCTCTAAAAAATAAATAAATAAAAAATAAACAAAAGGCCAGGAAAAACGTAAGGTAGTATCAAAAATGTAATGTGTCAATCTCTTTTCATGACAGGCTACAACTGAAAACACCAGTCATATTACCAAGGCTGTGACCGAAATCGTGTCTCTGAGAATGTGCCTCAAGCGTTCCAAGCCTGGCCGGCCGCGCTGGCTCACGCCTATCATCCCAGCACTTTGGGAGGCTGAGGTGGGAAGATCACCTGGTGTCAGGAGTTTGAGACCAGCCTGGCCAACATGGTGAAACCCCATCTCTACTAAAAATACTAAAATTAGCTGGGCGTGGTGACAGCCGCCTGTAATCCCAGCTACCTGGGAGGCTGAGACAGGAGAACCGCTTGAACCCGGGAGGCAGAGGTTGAAGTGAGCCAACATCGCGCCATTGCGCTCCAGCCTGGGCAACAAGATCAAAACTCCATCCCCCCTCCAAATAAAAAGAAAGTTCCCAGCCTTACAGCGAGAGTAAATAAAAACTGTCACCATCTGGCAGGCCCAGGAACCTCAGGGCTATCGGTCAAATCTAAAGCCTGCCTTGGTTTGGCTTCTTAGCCTCAAGAGGCCATTAAATCTGAGATTCCCATCTGATCAACATAGGGAGAAAAGCTTATGTTTCTAAAGAAAAGCTGTAGGCCTGGGTGCAGTGCCTCACGCCTGTAATCCCAACACTTTGGGAGGCTGAGGTAGGAGGATCACTTGAGCCCAGGAGTTCGAGACCAGCCTGGGCAAAATAGAGAGACCCTTATCTCTATACTTTTTGAAAAAGGAAAAGAAAAGCTATAATACATCTGTTAGGAGATTGTAGCTCTGGGCATTGTATTTGAGCTCTTATATCTACCTACAGACTAGACTAGATCCTAAATTCTTCTAGATTCCTTCAGTCAAAATTTCTTCCATGGAATTACTAAAAATAAAAACTGCTCTGTTCCTAAATCCCTATAAACTGAAACTAGATGAATTTTAAGGAACAAGTCTCATATCTGACATATGGGCCCCACAGGAGTTCACCAAACCATCCAATGCCATAACCACAGACATTTCACCTGCAAACCAGGCAGAGAAGCTGGCGTTTTCACACTGTAGCCAGGGCTTCCAGTTCATCGGGACGAGATTCTGTATCAGAGACGCCCTCCCTCTTACCGTCTACCTGCTCGTGCCACAGGATCATGGTCATTTAGTTCATTCAACTGGTGATCTTAAGCCTAGGTTTGTAGCTCAAAACTGTTATGCAAACTGGGATTTTCATATTACTATTAATTTTACTTTGTATTTTCCCTTTTTAAACTTTGTGCCTGTTACTTGTTAAATTTCTGCAGATGTACACCTCCTAACTGAACAATGCTGGACCGGCTCTTTGAGATGATAGCAAAGACTATGAAACAAATAAAACTGAAATTAATAATGGACTCCAGGTAGACTCAGCCTGAGAGACATTCCTTTCAAATCTCTCTTGTTCAAATGTGGCTAAAGGTTTTGCCACTGACTTCTAGCTGCTAATCACTTCCCTCCACTGTGGGACAAGACCAGCAACCGCAGGACACCACATCCCAGCACCAACAAGGGACAATCAAAACCTAACAATAGAATAATTGATCAGTGATTCTTTCAAAGAAAGACCTTGGTAAAAAGGGGACAATGAGAAAGTTATCAGAATTAAAATGGAGTCACTTCTGTTAAAAAAAAAAAAAAAAGCCTCTGACAAATAGGCTGGGCGCAGTGGCTCACGCCTGTAATACCAGCGCTTTGGGAGGCCGAGGTGGGTGGATCATGAGGTCAGGAGTTTGAGACCAGCCTGGCCAATATGGTGAAACACCGTATCTACTAAAAATACAAAAATTAGCCGGGCATGGTGGCACCTGTAGTCCTGGCTACTCGGGCGGCTGGGGCAGAAGAGTCCCTTGAATCTGGGAGGCAGAGGATGCAATGAGCTGAGATCATGCCACTGCACTCCAGCCCGGGCGACATATACTCTGACAAATAGCGCTGGGGGAGGCCATAAAGGGAGGGTTCTCCTGCATGAATTACTGATAGCAAGAGCTATTGATACGGCTCCAATGACTGGAGGAACATCACGGTCCTTGGTCCTCCGCCGATTTAGATAAAACGACATGGACACATGTGGAGTGGTTTTAAGGAGCAGAAAGTTTAATAGGCAAGGAAGAAGGAATAAAGAATAAAACAGCTCCCCTATACAGAGACGCAGTGGGGCTCAGAGCAAAGAGGCCCCGCATGCCGCAGAAGGGCATTCCACGATAGCGGGAGGCTGGAGGAGGCGGTGTCTGGTTTGCATAGGGGGCAGGGAATTGGTTTGACCGGGTGTATCATTCACGTAGTCCATGAGAAACCTGGCCCTCCCACCTTAGTCCTTTAATATGCAAATGTGGGTTGCCATGACGTTTTGAACACATGGTGTTATGTGGGGGCGGCCATGACACCTGGCACACCTGTCGACAAGAAGATGTGGGAATCGCCATGTTGGGTAGACCCAGTGTCTATTTGCCGGCGTTTGCATATCAAAGCTTGCTGGTCTGGCTCTTTAAGCCGCCTTTCTGTTAGTTTCCACCTAGAACCTTTACCCTATCCAGCTGCCTAAAAATTATTTCTTTTTTTTCTTTTTTTTAAAGACACAGTCTCACTCTTGTCCCCCAGGCTGGAGTGCAATGGCGTGATCTTGACTCACTGCAACCTCCGCCTCCCGGGTTCAAGCGATTCTCCTGCCTCAGCTTCCGGAGTAGCTGGGATTACAGGCACCCGCCACCACGCCCGGCTAATTTTTGTATTTTTAGTAGAGATGGGGTTTCACCATGTTGGCCAGGCTGGTCTCGAACTCCTGATCTCAGGTGATCTGCCTGCCTTGGCCTCCCAAAGTGCTGGGATTACAGGCGTGCGCCACCGCACCCGGCATAAAAATTATTTCTTAATAACTCTTGTATTACTATCACAAAATACTGAGAAACCACAACGCTGTATGAAGTCCACTGCAACCATGGACAGAAAATACTGTGAGGACATCTGCCCAGCAACTGCGGTCCAACCCTGGACTGGCACCCCCCGCCGCTGATGCTTGTAGACAAGGGGAATCGCCTCAAAACAACGGTGTGATCCTCGTTTTCCCTTTAAAAGCCTTTTTCTCCCTTTACCTCCCTGAACACACACAGTCTACCACCGCACGTGTGTTCCGACTGCAACGCCCTATTTTTGAATAAATGTCGTTTTCTTTCACAGAGCCTCTCTGTTATCTAAGTTGACAAATGTAATCATAGCACAACAGTGGTCTCTGTTGTAATCCATATTTATTCAATTTCAACGGCATACACACTGTGGAGTAAAAGCCATGACAAGGAGGCAGGGCGTGGGGCTCATGCCTGTAATCGCAGCACTTTGGGAGGCCAAGGTGGGTGGATCACTTGAGGACAGGAGTTCGAGACCAGCCTGGCCAACATGGTGAAACCCCGTCTCTACCAAAAATACAAAAATTAGCTGGGCATGGTGGCGCGCATCTGTAATCCCAGCTACATAGGAGGCTGAGGCAAGGGAATTGCTTGAAGCCAGGAAGCAGAGGGCGCGGCGAGGCTGAGACTGTGCCATTGCACTCCAGCATGGGCGACAGAGTGAGACTCCATTTCCAAAAGAAAAATCATGGCCGGGCATGGTGGCTCACACCTGTAATCCCAGCACTTTGGGAGGCTGAGGCAGGCGGATCACGAGGTCAGGAGATCGAGACTATCCTGGCTAACAGGGTGAAACCCCATCTCTACTAAAAATATGAAAAAATTAGCCGGGCATGGTGGCGGGCGCCTGTAGTCCCAGCTACTCGGGAGGCTGAGGCGGGAGAATG
This sequence comes from Homo sapiens, assembly GCF_000001405.40. Taxonomy (NCBI): domain Eukaryota; kingdom Metazoa; phylum Chordata; class Mammalia; order Primates; family Hominidae; genus Homo; species Homo sapiens. Next base: position 44,198,177 of record NC_000021.9, on the reverse strand, counting down.
GTGTGAACCCGGGAGGCGGAGCTTGCAGTGAGCCGAGGTTGTGCCACTGCACTCCAGCCTGGGCGACAGAGCGAGACTCCGTCTCAAAAAAAAAAAAAAAAGAAAAAAGAAAAAAGAAAAATCATGACATTGAGAGGATTGGGGGAGGAAATGTGGTTGTAAAAGGGTTAAAATGTAACCATTTGTCGCAGGAAGCCAACGCATAAAGTCTAAAATGATAAACCAAGAAGCTGAGCGTGGACCCATTTTCCGTTCTGCTGCAGTGCTCCCTCCCCTCCCCGAGTCCTCGGTGGGCTGGCAGACGGGGCTCTGCCGTGGCCGACTCTTGGGGTCCCTGCAGTAAATCCAAGCGCCTCCAAGGACATCCGAGTGACCAGGGACTGGTGAGTTTTCTTTGAGTTGTAGGGCTGTGGCGGGCTGCCTAGAGGCCCCCGACATGGGCTCATTCTCCCTCCTTCTTCTCCGCCAAGAGAAGAGCCGTGATCCCCAGGAGGAATCCTGTGTGGAGTGTCTGTCTGGAGTTGGATCAGACAGTGATCCAGGGATTTCTTCTTCTTTGAACAGTGATGGCCCAAGGCCAATCCTTTCCTACAGAATCAGCCTTCCCAGTGTTGCCACGGTGGACGGCCTGAATTTATCATACGTGGCTCTTGCTGGTGACATTGCCACGTGTGGGAACTACTGTACATCAGATGCCTGCCCCAGCAGCCTGGCCGGTCTCAGAGCGAGACATGCTGCTCACCAGCCCTCCCGGTACCTCAGGGGCCAGAAGTGGACAATCGGCCCTGCGCCTGGACCGGCCATCCCTGGGCGGCAGGCCAGGACCTCCTCCACCAGGCCCGCATGCCGCTGGGACCATACATGAAGGGAAGGTCCCAGGAGGTGACGCTGTCGGAGCCGATGGCCTTGAGACTGGTGCCGGGCTGCAGAGAGAAACGCGTCCTCGGCAGACCTCGTCAGCGCTGACACAGACGCTTCATCATGGGAGCCTCGGCCACAGCTGTGCCCTAGGTGGTGATTATGAGAAGACCAATTCTAGGAAATTTGAGGAAGGAACAGCAAGTTCTCTTGATTAAACTATGAATGAATTTTAAAAGTCTGTAATCGGACAGTTTTCTTCCTTGGACGTTTCTGTGACTCTGGGAGCTGACTATATGGCTTCAAACCAACCCTGAGCCTCTACCCCAGGACAGAACGCAGGGCTCCCGGGTGAGTGCACCGAGCTGAAGGACCTGAGAGCGGTCCATTGCCAGGTGGCTCCATTAGGGGCATCTCACCTGAGGCTGCCTCCAGGGTAAGGCTCGGCCTCAGGGATGGAGAGTGGTGCTCACACTGGGGGCCCTGGATTCTATGGGCAGCAAAGCCGTGTGTGCTACATGAACAGGCCCAGCCAAGAGGTCCCCACCCACTCTGCATGACCGGGATCAGCTCATCGGTGCTTCAGGGCAGGATGACCCCACCTGCTCCCTGACAGACAGGTCTGGCCGTGGGTGATAAACCTGTGTAGGCTTCCAAGGCCTCAGCAGTGCATGTGTCTTGCTCCTGGAGGGGCCAGAGGAACAGGTGCTCTGTGTCCCTACCAGTAGGATGAGGACCGTCTCGGACAAACGTCCCTCAAGGCCTGTGTCCTCCCACCAGGAAGCCACAGACAAGGCTGAAGCTGGGCCTCCCACAGCCAAAGAGGAGCTGTCCTGGGACTGAAAAGAGGAAGCAAGCCCAGATCTCCACACCTCCCGCCCCGACTCTGGCGTCACTGAGGTGCCTGCCCCCGTGTCACGGCTGTGGCTGTTGTGCTGATGCAATCTCAACAGCAGAGAAGCACGCACATCCTGCAGGCCCACGTGGGCCCCCGACCTGGCAGATGGGGCCCTGGGAGACCAGCCCAGAGTGCCACTAGTGCCCTCCAGCCAGGCTCCAGCCACCCATCTCTTAGAACAGGGCCCTGCTCTCAGCACCAGGGGCATCTTTGTCCTGGGGCCATCCTGTGTGGTTAGGGTATTGAGCCGCACCCCGGCCTCCACCCTCCAGGTGCCCGTGGCACCTCTGCCCCAAGTCATGACAACCAAACATGTCTCCAGACACTGCCAGTGTCCCCTGAGGGGTAAAATTGCCCCTGGTTGAAAACGACCACTTTAGAATTGACATTTACTAACCCATCACCGTCAAATCTAAGGTTGAAAGGTGTGTGCATAAACACAGGGACCGAAATTCTCAACAAATGCCGTAAGTTGGCAAAATCACAGGTAGTTGAAATTCCTAATTATATCTTTATTACCAGTGGAGAGAAGCTCCCCTAGGAAGTGTCAGATCCCACGGGGACGCCTCACAGTTTCTCATTATTGATCACGATCTACGTAACCAGAGCTCTGTTTTGAATGGGATTTTAGCGCGGTCGGTAGAGTTTTAGACAAGACCGCTTTTGCTAATGGAAATGTTGGTTCTAAAATTTTATCCTGGAAGTTGGATCTTTCTTGCACCTATTTTTGGAAAATCTGCTCTCTTGATTTTTGTGGGTGTGTGAATGTGTATTCTATGAATCTTTTATAAGATGGTGTTGAATGTCCCAGATCATAAATAAGGTGTTTACGCCACTTCTGTGAGTGGATCAGGACCAGACAGCCAGGTTTTATTTCTATTTGGCCACCAAGAGCACCCATTCCATGAAAGCCAACTCGTGGCTCCTTCTTGACAGAGGCATCTTACAAAAAAAAAAAAAAATGAAGGACGGCTCAACAATCACTGTTAGACTCGATTAAAAAGAAATATCTAAGAGCAAATCTGCTTGAGGCTCGTGACATTCCTTGGCAGGGCGGGGGCTTCCCAGCTGGAGCCATCCCATTTCTCAGAGGGGGTCTCTGGCTCTCAGACAAACTCAGGATGTGCACAGGCATTGGTCAGGGCCGGGAAGGCCATCACTCAAGACGACGTCTGTCCCAAGAGTACATGCGAGATTTTAATATTTGTTTTACAGGCCATTGTGGTTTACTCTTGTTTCCTAGGAGGAAGCATCAGGAATGGTAACAATTGAACCAAATCACGAACCGTGAAGAACAACACTCTAAGGGAATCTTGTGTTCTGGAAAAAAAAAAAAAAATGTGCAACTTTGGTTTTCCTGGCTCCATATGGTCAGCAACACTGCCCTTGGTGGGTGCCCATGACCCATGAAGCCCTTCCCAGCTCTCCCAGCTGTGAGCCAGACACTGGCCCAGTGGGGAGCACTGATGGCTTTGGGAAGGAGGGCCCACCCTGTCCCTGACGTTCAGCGAGCACAGTCCTTGTGACCCGGTGCGTCCTCCTTGTGTTGGGGTCCCCCCACCAGCTCAGCTCAGACTCAGGCTGCAAAGCACCATGCATGGCTTTGGTCTCCTCTTCTGGGAACCCCTGAACCCCAGTGCGGTGGGCTTCTCCTCCCCACCCGGCGCAGATCCCAGCCCAGTCACCCAGACCCCAGCTCTCAGCCTCTTCCTGGAGCAGCTGCCCTGCCCCACGGGAAGCGGCCTGGAGCCCAGATGCACAGCCTGGACCAGTGTGTTGCCTCTGCAACTGCTAGCAGGAACATGATGTCGAAACACCCTCCATGACACGATCCAAATGGCCCTCTTACTCTCTTAAGTAGCAAAATAAATACCAGCATCAAGGTTCTGGATGGAGACCACTTCATTTGCTCACATATTTTTGCAAGCCGTTTATTAGGATACCGCTTAAATAATTACTTCTTGTTTTTATTTGGCTTTTCTTAAACATGGTCTTGTTAGGTGAGGTTTCATAACCACCACACAACTGTCTTTGTTCTCACGCTGCTGGAGCGTGTTTTATGGGCATTGTGATAATAGCTGTAGTTTCCAACGGTTGCAGTAGCTGACTAGTCAGTGGCTTCAGCAACACACATTTATTCTCCTATAGCCCTGGAGGTCAGAAGCTCCGATCCAGGTGTTGGCTGGGTTCCACTCCTCCTGGAGGCGCTAGGGGAGGATCTGTGTCCCTCTTACCATTTCTAGGATCCGCTGCACCCCTTGGCTCAGGCCTCTCTTCCATCTTCAAAGTCAGCAGCCTCTCCTCCCCTCTGACCTTGGCTTCCTCTGCCCGACTCTGACCCCTTGCCTTCCTCTTACAAGGACCCTGTGATGACCTGGCGCCCACCCAGCTAATCCAGGGAGGAGAAGAGAATACTGAGCGTCTTTTCGTTGTAAGCTTTTCAGATTTCTTTGGTTTTTGTTCTTTTAAACTGAGTGACACATGGATGTATGGATGGACGGATGAATTGAGACAAGATCTTGCTCTGTCATCCCAGCTGGAGTGCGGTGATGTGATCACGGCTTCCTGCAGACTCGACCTGCTGGGCTCAAGTGATCTTCCCATCTCAGCCTCCCGGGTAGTTGAGACCACAGCCCCGTGCCATCACACCATGGCTAATTTTTTATTTTTACTTCTATAGAGATGGGGTCTTGCTATGTTGCCCAGGCTGGTCTGGAACTCCTGGGCTCAAGTCATCCTCTGGCCTTGGCCTCCCAAAGTGCTGGGATTACAGGCATGAGCCAGCACGCCCAGCTTGCCTGTATTTTTAAAACAGATAATGGTGGCTATCAAATCACTGGGGTTTTGAATACATTTAAAAGAGTGACTTCATGGTTATTTCTTACATATTGGTTTTATAATATATCAGAAGTTATATCCTTTGCAACTACTTAAACTTACGATGAGAAATTTTAGTTGTTAGAGACTGAATGTGCACATGGACAGCGGCCAGCCCAGCTATAAAAATGGAACTCCACCCCACATCTGCAGCACCCAGCCCAGGAGGCCTCCCCCCTGCCCCCATAACCAGCCCGGGAGGTCGCCCTCATCCCTGGTAAGCAGCCCAGAGGCCGCCTGCTGTGTTGAGTCATAGGAAGGGAGACTGTCATCTCCAGAGAGCATCCAGGAAGCTAAACAACAGCTCCTGTTACCATCAGCTCCAAACAGCTGGGACTGGATTAATACATCAAATGACAAATGTAATTCACTCATTAATTAGCTTCCCTAATTTTTGCTCCCACTTTTTTTTTTTTTTTTTTTTGAGACAGAATCTTGCTCTGTTGCCCAGGCTGGGGTGCAGTGGCGTGATCTCGGCTCACTGCAACCTCTGCCTCACAGGTTCAAGCAATTCTCTAGCCTCAGCCTCCCGAGTAGCAGGGATTACAGGTGCCTGGCACCACGCATGGCTATTTTTTGTGTATTTTTATTAGAGATGGGGTTTCACCGTGTTGGCCAGCCTGTTTTCAAACTCCTGACCTCAAGTAATCCACCGGCCTTGGCCTCCCAAAGTGTTAGGATTACAGGCGTGAACCACCGCACCCGGCTTCGCTTTAAACTTAGGACCAACCAGAGAAAGCCACTGTGCAGCCCTCACCAATCCCATAGGAACCCTGCTGTCTGGTGATCCACCCCCACGCCTGGCCGCCTGCCTTCCCAGGGCACACCTGTGCCTCCGCTCTCCCACTCCGAAGCTTCCCCTCCCTGCCTGCCTTTGCATCTCTGCCAAACACAGAGGCCAGCACCAGGGACCTCTGCCCAGACCCACCCCGCTCCACCAGCCCGAGCTGTGTATCCCTGCCCTCATCCTATCACATGACACCCTTGGGTGGGGACCCCCGTGTGCTCATGCACGGTGGCGGGGGGGTGTCTATTTTCAGCTGTGTGTCCAGGGAAGAAGGGTCGCCTCCCATTACAAAGGCCTGAGGTCCCTCCCTGGCCCCTAGATGTCCAGAGAGAGCCCAGAGCCTAAAGCCCTGAGATGTGAACTGTGTCCTGTGTCCTGAAGCCACTCAGTCACAAGTGAGACCCAGAATGACTCACCATCAGAGCAGGCAGGGAAAGCCAGCCAGACAGCCCAGCAGGGAGCAGCCCCAGCCCCTGGGGTCTGGGGGACTGGCCGAGTGGTGGCCTCCTGGCCCAGAGGCAGCCCAAGGCCCTACAGAGGAGGACTTAGGATAGTGCTGGGAAGCCCCATCAGACTTTCTGGCTCATCACACCTCGTCCTGAGGGAAGAAGGACAAACAGCATGCAGCCTTTTGAAATAACACCATTGTCCCTCATCTCCATCCTGATGCCTCAAATCACAGAGCTTCTTGTGTGCTCTACAATGGCACTCCCCAGCCTTTTGGGCACCAGGACAGTTCCATGGAGAACAATTTTTCCATGGATGCAGGTAGGGGGATGGTTTTGGGATGAAACTGTTCTATCTCAGATCATCAGGCATTAGATTCTCATAAGGAGCACACAATTGAGATCCCTCCCCTGCGCCCCTATGAGACTCTAATGTGGCCGCTGATCTGACAGGAGGTGGTGCTCAGGCTGGAATGCTCACTGCTCCCCATCCTCACCTCCTGCTGTGCGGCTCCGTTCTTAACAGGCCACAGACCAGTAGTGGTTTGAGGCCCGGGGGTTGGGAACCCCTGATGTGTAAGTACCAGGTGGGTGGGGGTCCTCCTGACTTGTAGGTGCCCAATGTGGGCCAGGCTCAGCTCGACCTGGGTGTACACAGCCCACGCCAGCCCCCACCCAGCCCCACCTTGTCTGGGTCCCTTGGGGCCAATGTGCACCAAGGACATGGAGGGCCCTGTGCCACTGATGGGACAGCAGTGGAATCAGACTAACAGTGGTCCTCTCAGCAGAAACTTTACAAGCCAGAAGAGATTGGGGGCCAATATTCAACATTCTTAAAGAAAATAATTTCCAACCCAGAATTTCATATCCAGCCAAATTGAGCTTCACAAGCAAAGGAGAAATAAGATCCCTCTTATTGGGGCCCTGCGTCCCAACATGGTGGAGGACTACCTAGGCTCGGGGGAGAGAAGACAGGAAGGGCAGCTGAGAGTGCCACACACACCCCATCACACGTGCACTGCAGACCCCCTCACACATGTGAGCACAGGGCATAAGCACGGCCTGAGTCTATGGATGGAGGGAGGCTCCCAGGCCCAGAGCACACAGCAAGCCAGGTCCCAAGGCCAGTAGACAAGAGGCTCCTGGCCTGGATGACGAACACAGAGATGTGTGCCCATGTGACGCCATGGGATAGGGCCACCGTGGCCAGAGGACAGGAGCGAGGACGGTGTTGCCGGCTGGACGGACAGACAGGCAGAGGGAGGCCAGGCAGAAGGAGCCGGCTGGGTAGCCTCTAAACCGCTAGGAATGGGTAGAGTCCATGAGCAGCAACGATGCAGGATTCCCACAATCCTTCCATTTTCCAAGTTAGTATTGAGCCTGCTAGGAGCTGAGGATAAGGCAGCACATAAGGTAAGTTTCCAAGGGTCAAATTTCCATCTGTGTGTGGAATTTGTGTTGTTCATAGACTAATCAAGTGGTTTCAGATGTCTGGGTCTGTCTCTAAGTCTGTTTACTTGCAAATCCAAGCCAAGGTTAAACAAATGGTCTTCATTAAACCTTCATTTGATCTCATGTCCACAGTCTGCTCTGCCAGTAGTTTACAGCCAGAGGCAAAGCAAACCAAGAACACAGAGCCATCTACAGGGAAAAATCCTGGGTAACTACTTCTTCTCAGAAAAGCCCATCACCATCTCCACGCTCAAGAGAATAGTGCTGGACCCCTACCTCACACCATGTACCAAAACTAACTCAGAACAGACCAACAACCCTAATGTAACAGCAAAAAATATAGAACTCTCAGACAAAAACCCAGGGGAAAAGCTTGACAACATTGCTTTTGGCAGTGATTTCTAGGATATGACACCAAAAGCACAAGCAGCAACAGAAAAAAACATTAAATTTAAACCATCTGTGCACCAAGGACACTGAACAGTGAAAACACAACCATGAAATGGGAGAAGGTAGGTGCAAATTGTGTATCTGATATGGGATGAATATGCAGAATATGATTATTTTATTTTTACTTTTTTTTGAGATAGAGTCTCGCTCTGTCACCCAGGCTGGAGGGCAGTGGCACAATCTTGGCTCACTTTAACCTCTGCCTCCCGGGTTCAAGTGATTCTCGTGCCTCAACCTCCCAAGCAGCTGAGATTATAGGCGTGTGCCACCATTCCCGGCTAATTTTCAGTAGTAGAGACAGGGTTTTGCCATGTTGGCCAGGCTGGTCTCAAACTTCTGGCCTCAAGTGATCCACCTGCCTCAGCCTCCCAAAGTGCTGGGATTACAGGTGTGAACCACCGTGCCCAGCCATGATTATTATTATTTTTTAAATATAGAGACCAGATCTTGCTATGTTGCCCAGGCTGGTCTTGAACTCCTGAACTCAAGCAATTCTCCTGCTTTGGCCTCCCAAAATGCTGTGATTACAGGCATGAACCACCACGCCCGGCCCAGAATATGATTTTTTTTAATTGGCAGAGACAAGGTCTCATTTTGTCACCCAGGCTGGAGTGCAATGGCACAATCTCGGCTCACTGCAACCTCCGCCTCCCAGGTTCAAGTGGTTCTTCTGCCTCAGCCTCCCGAGTAGCTGGGATTACAGGCACCTGCCAACATGCCTGGCTAATTTTTGTATTTTTAGTAGAGATGGGGTTTTACCATGTTGGCCAGGCTGGTCTTGAACTCCTGACCTTAGATGATCCACCTGCCTTGGCCTTCCAAAGTGCTGGGATTACAGGCGTGAGCCACCGTGCCTGGCCAAAATGTTAAATTCTTTACAGATATGTCAAAGTCAGCAATAAACCATACTATATAGAAACAAACAAAAATTTACTAGAAATAATTCAGTGAGCCAACTCTTTGTATCAGTCATTATTTATTATTATTATTATTATTATTATTACTATTTTGAGACAGGGTCTCATTCCCATTGCCCAGACTGGAGTGCAGTGGTGTGATCACTACTCACTACAGCCTCAACTTCTTGGGCTCAAGTGATTCTCTCACCTCAGCTTCCCAACTAGCTGAGACTACAGGCACCCGGCTACTTTTTGTATTTTCAGTAGAGACGGGGTTTCACCACGTTGCCCAGGCTGGTCTCAAGTGACCCACTGCCTCAGCTTCCCAAAGTGCATAGTCATTTTTAAAGTACAGTTTAGGGATAATGTATTATTTCTATTAGAGTTATAACTTTAAGCTGGGAGATGTTCAGTAACTAAGTTTGTGAAGCTATTAGAATGTTTAAGTGCATTTGGTTTGCTATGAGCTTGATTTATTAAAAGGATAAGAGTAATTTAAGTGTTTGACAAGTCTGGCTGTCTGTTTTGCAAATGTTTCCTGTCAGGTATTTGAAATGCTTAAAAAGAAAAATGAAGACATTAAATTATAATCAAACGTTAAAAACATAAAGGGAATTTAACTTTAATAAAAAGCCTATCAACAATGATACATCTACAAAGAGGCAGACATTCCAAGTTGGGAAGATGGGGAGGTTACTTACCCGTGCTGCTCCCGAACCAATTAACTAGCAGAACTTGTTTTCAAACAATAAGATACAACCTGGTACAGAATGTTCCAACGCGGTGGGGGAGGGATCACGTTTGCCGATGAGGACTGCAATGTTGGGACTAAAACCGTGTGTGAAACCTGAACGGCTCCAAAATCATCTGTTCCCTTCTCATCTCTCCCAGAAGTGTCCGTGACAGTCGCTGTCATGGAAGTCACCTCCCCAGCACCACAAGGGAGAGCCATCCTTCCTGCAGGGCGGCCACGTGGCCACCTAGGCTGGTCCCGGGAGACCTTGGACCCAGGCTGGTGCCTGCCCCAGCTCCTGTCCCGAGACGTGGCTGAAGGTGAGCATCTCACCCAGGCTGGGCAGCAGTGTCCACCCTGGGACTTTTGGGACTGATGAAGACAGTCAAGTCCATCCCCATGAAAACAGAGAGGGCTGCTTTTCCAGCAGAATAGAAATCACCAAACTCAATCCTAGAAGAACTGGAATATTCGAATAGTCCGCCTTCCACAGGAGAAATTAGAAAGGTGATGGATATTTATCTTTAAGGAAAGTGCAGACCAGTTGAATTTTATTTAACCTTTAAAAAGATAATTCTAACTTTTCTAGGCCACAGAAAAAGATGGGAAACCTCCTATTTATGAAGGCATAGCTTTTGTCAAGGGAGCATATAGGGCCAGGTGCGGTGGCTCAAGCCTGTAATCCCAGCACTTTGGGAGGCCGAGGCGGGTGGATCAGCTGAGGTCAGGAGTTTGAGACCAGCCTGACCAACATGGAGAAACCCTGTCACTACTAAAAATACAAAATTAGCCAGGTGTGGTGGCATGTGCCTGTAATCCCAGCTACTCAGGAGGCTGAGGCAGGAGAATTACTTGAACCTGGGAGGCAGAGGTTGCGGTTAGCCAAGATTGCACCACTTCACTCCAGACTGGGCAAAAGGAGCGAAACTCCATTTCAAAACAAAAAAAGGTGGTGGGGGGGAGCATATAAAATGATAAAGCTATGTTGCTTGTACCTATAGATGCAAACAGTTTGGATAAAATATTAGCAAAAATATACTACCAATGTGTCAAAATCATCACACACCACCCCCAAGCAGGTGGTTTATTTTAGAAATGCAAAGATGGTTCAGGAACAGGACATCTATCAGCATGAAAAAGAAATTAGTGGACAAGGAGCAGTGGCTCGCACCTGTAATCCCAGCACTTTGGGAGGCCGAGGCGGGTGGATCACCTGAGGTCAGGAGTTTGAGACCAGCCTGGCCAACATAGTGAAACCCCGTCTCTACTAAAAATACAAAAATTAGCCAGGTGTGTTGACGGGTGCCTGTAATCCCAGGTACTTGGGAGGCTGAGGCAGGAGAATCACTTGAACCCGGGAGGCAGAGGTTGCAGTGAGCCGAGATCACGCCACTTCACTCCAGCCTGGGTGACAGAGTGAGACTCTGTCTCAAAAAAAAAAAAAAAAGAAAGAAATTAGTGAAAGAAGAAAGATGCAGATAACTCAGGCTTAGCAATCCTTACGCAGCTGCTCCTGGGTGGCCTGAGGGCAACTGGAAAGGGAGCTGGGCCCAGCCAGCTGCAGAATGACCAGGAGCTCAGCCCGACACAGCCTCACCAAGGTGGGCCTGGCATGCAGCAGGGGCTGCACGAAGGCCTGGGGAGGGGAGGGTCTGTCCGGCCTCCGAAGGGACCCTGAGAGTCCTGGGCAATAGAAAGTTCTGGGCATTGAGTTGTTAGAGGGACCAAAAGGTGGGGAAAGAGCGTGTCTGTGGTTGGGATGTGTGGGCTGCAGGCCACAGCCAGCAAACTCCTCCGTGCAGATGCTGACAGGGAGCGTGTCAGCAGGGTGATCTGTGATCCCAAACCAGGCCTGGAGCAGTGGCCCCCGGGTGGCCCGCCAGCCTCGGACTCTGGCCTCATCCCTCCTCCCTGCTCCTCTCAGGGGCTGGACACTGCCTCCTTCCCCTCTGGCCCCCTCTGATCCAGCCTCCAGGGGTGGGGACCTCAGCCAGCTGATGTCCAGGTGTCCTGGGAAAGTGGCCCTAGCCACAGATTCACACTCCTGAGGCAGGCTTCGGATGGGCCCACCTGGGACCCATGCTCACCTCTGTCAGAGGTCAGGGCCCGGTGTCCCGTGGACAGGAGGGCAGATGCAGAGAATACCCTCCCCACCCCTCATCCTTTCTCGGCCTCTCAGCATAGGCCGGCAGATGTCATGCCAGGCACGGTGGGTGAGGACCACATCAGCCAAGGCTATGCTCTGGTAGGGCCTAAACGCTGCGGGATGCTTTACGCCTGCTTGGTGTTCACGATCGTCGTGAAACAAAGCCAAGGAGCTCATGCCTGTGGGGACCCTCCCCTAGGGTCACGGGTCTACCCCGATCTTAGTCCTCGCGCCAGCCTGTGGAGGGAGTGCTCTGATTTCAGATGGGAAATCGAGGCAGGGAACGGCTGTGCAGCTCACCCAGGGCCAGGCTCGGGCCAGTGCTCCTGTCCGGGGAGAGGCACCATCCTGGGTCTGGCTTGTCATGCTGCATTCATCACGCGTGTCTGCAGCCGCATTTGTCGTGCATGTCTGTGTGGATATGGCTCCTCCAGGTCCAAGGAGCAGGAGCAGAGCAGGCCCCGGGGGGCAGGAAGCTCCGTCCCCACTGCCCCACGCACAGTGCAGAGGACCCGTAGGTGGCCACAGAGGTCTCCGCTAGTTGAGGCCGGCATGGCTTGTCCTCCTGCAAAGGTCCAGCCCCGAGGGTGGGCGCTCGGGGCCATAGGCAGCGAGGGCAGTTCTGGTGGATCCTGGGGCTTGGCATCTCGGGGCAGGCAGGGGCTTGCAGAAGAGAAGCCAAGGTCACTGCTGGGGAAGCAGCCGGCACCAGGGGCCACTGCCTGACGCACCATTGCAAGCAGGGTGTGGGGCTGTCCACCACCCCCAAAAGACCGCCAGCATGCCCCCTGCCTCCAGCACCACCCTCCCCATCCACAGCCTCTGTGCTGGTCCCGGCCGCTGGCCAGGCTGGCATTGGCCCCTGGAGCTGGTGGGAGAGGGTCCTGTGTCTCAGGCTGCCCTCCGCTGTCTTCAGGGCTCAGAGACTGGGATGAGTGGCCTTTGTACCAGGTGCTGGGGGCTGACAGCAATGAGGGCCAGGCTCCAGCATCACCAGGACTCGCCTCTTTGGGTAAAACACTTTCTCCAAAGGGCCCCGTGGCAGATGCAGCAGGTGGAGCAGAAGCCCCCACACCTGGGGTCTGGCAGGGAGGGGCCTCACTGGGGTTTCCCAGACACTGGTGCGGACGGGGCTGCTTCAGTGGGAGGTGAGTGACCAGGAGGAGGAGGGGCGCTGGGACCCGCAGCCCCTACCATGAAGGCTGAGCGACAAGGGGAGGCAGGGCCCCAGCAGGGCACCCGGAGGGCACGGGGGACACAGAGACCACAGAAAGCTGAGGGACAGTTCCTGGCCAGGGCGTCCTCTCCCCAGGTAGGAAGAGCCTTCCCTGACCTGGACAGTGGCAGCCCCTGGAGGGGGCAGCTGTGGGCAGGGGCTGGAAGCCTGGGCAGGGGCCAGGATGAAGTGGGGCCAAGGCCAAGGCCAGCACCGGAGGAGCCCGTTCCCAAAGGGCAGGGCCTGGCCCAGCCCCGTGGCTTCGCTGTGATGGAGTAAAAGACACAAAGTCCCCCATGGGGTTTCCCGGGGCTGCTTCCACCCCAGTACCCCCAGGCAGCTGCAAAACTAACTTGGCAAACACCATCTGCCGAAAGAGTAAGTAGGAGTTCAACCACAGCGGAGTGAAAAGGAGGAGAGGCTGGAAAAACCCACTCTCCCTGTTCAACAGGGAAAGTCCCAGCTGAATCACACTGATTATTCATGAGGAAGAAAAGGAAAACTGGCAGAGCTATAAAAATATTCTGTTTTATCAAATCAGGAAAACACAGTACTCAACCTGCGGATTAAAAACACTTTCTGAAGGAAGAAAGAATACATTTAGGCGCTAGTTTCACTGGAAAAATTCAGGAAATCATTAAGTGTAGGCACTGGGTGCTGAGATGTCAGATGAAATAGATGGGAATGGAACAGGAGCTGGTGAGATGTCAGATGAAATAGATGGGAATGGAACAGGAGCTGGTGAGATGTCAGATGAAATAGATGGGAATGGAACAGGAGCTGGTGAGACGTCAGATGAAATAGACGGGGATGGAACAGGAGCTGGTGAGATGGCAGATGAAATAGACAGGAATAGAACAGGAGCTGGTGAGACATCAGATGAAATAGATGGGGATGGAACAGGAGCTGGTGAGACATCAGATGAAATAGACGGGAATGGAACAGGAGCTGGTGACACATCAGATGAAATAGATGAAATAGACAGGAATAGAACAGGAGCTGGTGAGATGTCAGATGAAATAGGAATGGAACAGGAGCTGGTGAGAGGTCAGATGAAATAGACGAGGATGGAACAGGAGCTGGTGAGATGTCAGATGAAATAGACGGGAATAGACAGGGATGGAACAGGAGCTGGTGAGATGTCAGATGAAATAGATGGGAATGGAACAGGAGCTGGTGAGATGTCAGATGAAATAGGAATGGAACAGGAGCTGGTGAGAGGTCAGATGAAATAGACGAGGATGGAACAGGAGCTGGTGAGATGTCAGATGAAATAGACGGGAATAGACAGGGATGGAACAGGAGCTGGTGAGATGTCAGATGAAATAGATGGGAATGGAACAGGAGCTGGTGAGATGTCAGATGAAATAGATGGGAATGGAACAGGAGCTGGCGAGATGTCAGATGAAATAGATGAAATAGATGGGAATGGAACAGGAGCTGGTGAGACGTCAGATGAAATAGATGAAATAGCTGGGGATGGAACAGGAGCTGGTGAGATGTCAGATGAAATAGATGAAATAGATGAAATAGCTGGGGATGGAACAGGAGCTGGTGAGATGTCAGATGAAATAGATGGGAATGGAACAGGAGCTGGTGAGATGTCAGATGAAATAGATGAAATAGCTGGGGATGGAACAGGAGCTGGTGAGATGTCAGATGAAATAGATGAAATAGATGAAATAGCTGGGGATGGAACAGGAGCTGGTGAGACATCAGATGAAATAGACAAGGATGGAACAGGAGCTGGTGAGACGTCAGATGAAATAGTTGAAATAGATGGGGATGGAACAGGAGCTGGTGAGGAGTCAGATGAATAGACGGGAATGGAACAGGAGCTGGTGAGACGTTAGATGAAATAGATGAAATAGATGAAATAGCTGGGGATGGAACAGGAGCTGGTGAGATGTTAGATGAAATAGATGAAATAGCTGGGGATGGAACAGGAGCTGGTGAGACATCAGATGAAATAGACGGGGATGGAACAGGAGCTGGTGAGACATCAGATGAAATAGACGGGGATGGAACAGGAGCTGGTGAGACATCAGATGAAATAGACGGGAATGGAACAGGAGCTGGTGAGATGTCAGATGAAATAGACGGGGATGGAACAGGAGCTGGTGAGAAGTCAGATGACATAGACGGGGATGGAACAGGAGCTGGTGAGACATCAGATGAAATAGACGGGAATGGAGCAGGAGCTGGTGAGAAGTCAGATGAAATAGATGAAATAGACAGGGATGGAACAGGAGCTGGTGAGAAATCAGATGAAATAGACAAGGATGGAACAGGAGCTGGTGAGACATCAGATGAAATAGACGGGAATGGAACAGGAGCTGGTGAGACGTCAGATGAAATAGACAGGAATGGAACAGGAGGTGGTGAGGAGTCAGATGAAATAGATGAAATAGATGCGGATGGAACAGGAGCTGGTGAGAGGAAATATATGGGAATGGAACAGGAGCTGGTGGGACATCAGATGAAACAGACGGGAATGGAACAGGAGCTGGTGGATGGGCATGAATTAGCTGAGGGCAGGTGTGAGGAGGTGATCTCAGGAGAGACCCAGCGGCAGCTTTCAAGGCACTGGGAGCTGAAGGAACAGCACCCACAAGCACAGAGCCGGACCAGGAGGCCGAGACACAGGCGGCGGCAGCCCCACGCCCCACACCCCATGCCCCAGGGAGGAGGAAGGCAGAGATGAGGAGAGAGAAAGCAGACATGGAGGACGGAAGCCAGAAACCTGCTGGGCGAAGGAGCAATTTTCCAGATAAAGAAACTCGAACAACCGGAACGGTGCAGCCATAGAGTATGTAAGAGAAGGAACTTCTAGAATGAAGACAGATCTGAATCTATTTAATCAAACGGCTCACGGGGACAAGCAAAATTAATGAAAATGAATCTGGTGGAAATCTTCCACTTCAAGCATAAAACACCAGACAAGCACAGAGAGAAACTGAGTAGCCCAGCAGCATCCTGTGCCAGGAGACCACGGAGACCACAGGGCGACAGCTGGAGCTTCATGGCTGCAAACCCACCAATGCCAGGAGACCATGGGGCGACAGCTGGAGCTTCATGGCTGCAAACCCACCAACGCCAGGAGACCATGGGGTGATGTCTGGAGTCTCACAGCTGCAAACCCAGACTTCTGTGCTTGGCCGGGTCACTATAGGGAGACCCGCTGCACCAGTCCAGGCAACAGAAAAAACATTCTCAGCTACATAGAGGCCAGAAATTGCACCAAGAACATTTCCTTCCCGAAAAAGCAACTCAAAATTAATTATTTGAGGCAAACAAGAGGTGACTCCAAACAAAGACCCATAAACAGGGAAGGGCAGGCAGGCAGTGGTGGCCGGGGACATGGAGATGGCTTGAGCTAGAATTGAGTCCACGTGGATTTTGTGAATAAAATCTAAGAATTGCAAAATAACAATCACTAAAACTTAAAACCACCTTATCAGGGATGACGGCTCTTTGGGGGTCTTGTAGTGAGGCCAAGATAGACTTCAGGATCGAGGTTCTACCAGTGATTTAAAATTAGGATGTTGAAATTTGGCAGAATGACTTAAGTTTTAGAAAAAAAGGAAATTGGGTCATTCTCTTTCCAAAGGAAAACTGTCCCGTGATGGAATGCGTAGTCATTTGTGTCTGCAACAGTAAGCGTCTGTAACCCTTGGGAACTTCACATTCTCAGCCTCACTTCATCCCAGAGAAAGTCATGGGAAATGCCAGTCACTCTGGAATGTTCCCAAGTGTGCAGAAACTGAGAGGCCTCCCACCAGGCTCACCTGGCCTCCTTCCCCAGCTGCTTCTCTCCCATCTCACTGCTCTACTGAGCACTAGGGGCTTCCAGACCTCCCTCCAGCCTCTGAGCTGCTGTGAGTCCCACTGAGGCAGGGCAGGGGCAGGGGCAGCCTCGTGGCTGTCCTGGGTGTCATGAAAGGCGGTTTGGTGAAGCTGTTGGTAACAAAATCCAAATGCCAGGATGGAAGAGCGATATGGTGTCGCCAGATGGCAAGGCAGACCCTAGGCCAGCTGGCCCCGGCCCACCCGTCACTGTGAGCACTGGCATAGTCACCCTGAACGTGAAAGGAGGCAATTCCCTGCCCGGCTCTGGAGTCGGGCTGCCCAGACAGCTGGGCTGGCTCTGCCGTTGGGCTGGGCCTCAGTTTCCTCACTGCAGAGAGGGTGACAACACACTGGCCCACATGTGAGGGAGTGGGACATGTGAGCCGGCAGAGGGGAGGTTCGCTCATGAATGCTTACTTACCAAGGCCTCCTCCATTCCAGGCACCTGCCCAAACATGGCCCTTGCACGCCTCCCGGGACCCCACATCTACACCCAGTGACGGTCCCATCCTTATGCTCCAGATGAGGAAACTGAGGCACAGTGCTGGAACCCAAAGCCTTCTAGTTTGGGCTCCACAAAAGGCCTTTTGATTGAATTATGCTTGAAAAGGCAGGTTTCTCCGGCAAGAACGAGTGGGAACCACACCCAGTCTGAGGCTTCGTGCCTCACCGCTGCCCCTGGTCCTGCAGCTGCCTGGTGCCACCACCCAGGGCCACGGCTCCTCCAGGGCCCACTCCTTCCTCTGTTCAGGAGATTGCTCTCTTCACGTTAGTGCATGAATCCCATCCTGGGTCATGGAGCCAGCATGGCTGGAGCTCAGAGCCCAAACGCAGCTGAAGACAAGATGGCTCAGGCGGGAGCCCCGCAGAGCTCATCCCCGTCCATCCAGGCTACAGTGGGGGTTGGGTGGGGACATTTCTAGGGGGTGGGTCCGAGAGAAGCATGAGGACCTAACCCCACGACCCCCAGAAACCAAACTGGCTCTCTTGGTACAGCGCTAGTCTGTGGAGTGGGCCCATTCCCATGGTGTAAACACCCCCACTGATGCTGGCTTCCAGCTGCTGACGTGCTGTCACTGAATGTGGAGCCGGGAAGCATTGTTCCCTTTTGGCTTTTGAGACATGCCAGGCCCAGTGGACCACTTCAGGCTGCAACACATGCAGGGCAGGGTGTGGGCCAGGGCATGGCCTGAGTCCTCAGTGCCAGGGCATCGGAACACCTGGGAGTCCCTTGAGGATAAAAAAGGAGACCCAAGCCAATGAAATGGACACACAGCCCCTGCAAACTGAAGGTCCGTCTTCATGAACTTGATGATCATCTGTGGTGTTGGGTGATTTTTGTTTGTTTGAGACAGTCTCACTCTGTCACTGGGGTTGGAGTGCAGTGGCACGATCTCGGCTCACTACAACCTCTACCTCCTGGTTCAAGTGATTCTCCTGCCTCAGCCTCCCAAGTAGCTCGGATTACAGGTGCATGCCACCATACCAACTAATTTTTTATAGTTTTCGGTAGAGATGGGGTTTCACCATGTTGGCCAGGCTGGTCTCAAACTCCTGACCTCAATTGATCCACCCGCCTCAGCCTCCCAAAATGCTGGGATTACAGGTGTGAGCCACTGCACCTAGCCTGGGTAATCTATTTCAATTTAACAAACCAGCCCAACACTGCATGGCTTTAAACAGTAATAGCCGTTTCTTTAACTCACGCATGTGCAGTTTGGGCAGGGCTCAGCAGGGCTGGCTCATCTCCTCTCCGTGGAGGCCTGGGGCTGGGAGCCCTGCAGGCTCAGCTCGGATTCATGGGGATGGACATTCAAGCTGCAGGATTCACCAGGAACCTTACCCTTATCAGTGAAGACTGAGTTCACCTCTGAAAAGAGGGAGCCACATGGCTGGAGTTTGACCACCAGACATTCCTGGGCAGAACTTTGGGTCTGGAGCAAGTGACCCAGAAGCAGGGACAGTCTGGGCTGTACCAGCAGCTGCCTCACAGCCAGGCTGCCCTCTTGGCCTCCCTGGACCTGCCTATGCCCAGCCCTCATTCTCCAGCCTTCTGTCTGGTTTCCAGAGCCCCAAGAGCCCTCTGAGAAAGTTATTTAGCATAGGTTTCCATTCATTGCAACCAAGATCCTGAGTGCTTGTATGATACAGCAGATATGGTTAAATTAAAAAAAAAAAAAAGAAAGGAAAAAGCAGAGAGAGGTGTTTGTGCAACAGGACTATGCTGCAGAAAAGTTGCATGGAGAAGCTCTGGCAGAGTGGGCAGGCAGGGGCTGCTGGGAGGGGCCTCCGGCTCTATGGCTGAGCAGACCATAAGGAACCTGGTTTTCCCAGGGCTGGCCGGCAGGCCGTTCTCAGCTCCTCTGCCTCCACTCAGGGGAGGGTGGGCAGACGAGTGGGCAGGTGGGGAACCATGGCTCCACTGGCTCCTTGGGGCAGCCCCTGTTGGGCCCTGTCCTTACCCTCAGAGAACACGCTGCCTGCACCACCCCATGAAGGGGGGTCCACGAGGGTTAGGGCTACAATGCACTTGGTGACATCAGGACCATGGCAAGGTGTGGAGGGGGTGGACTCTGATCTGGATGCCACTGAGCTCATCCCATGGCCCCAGCCTCAGGGAGGGGCTGGAGAGCGTCCATTGGGGCATGGTGTGGACCTGGACGGTAGCCTGGGCACTGGAATCCTGGCCCTTCCCAGACCTGCTGAGCCAGCGCCAGCATCCTAACCCCAGGGACCCCAGGGACGCCTGTGCGCAGTCGCTCAGAGAAGCCCCAGGACGCCTGTTCGCAGTCACTCGGAGAAGCCCCAGGATGCCTGTGCGCAGTCACTTGGAGAAGTCCCAGGACGCTTGCGCGCAGTCACTCGGAGAAGCCCCAGGACCCCTGTGCACAGTCACTCGGAGAAGCCCCAAGCTGACTCAACTCTGTTGAAACGACTGTTGTAAGCAGATCTTGGAGGTCGCCCGTGGTCTCTGCCTCCAGTGTTACTCCCAAGACGGCTGTGTTGTGTGGCAGAGGGATTCTGAAGGCATGGTGAAGTTCACCAACCCGCTGACCTTAAAACAGGGAGGTGCCTCCGGGCCTGACCTCATCACACCAACACTTTAGAAGCGGAGTTTCCTCTGGCGGGTGCAGAAGGGATGGCCAGAAAGAGCCACTCATGGGGGGACTCCACCGGCCCCTGCTGCTTGAAGATGGAGGGGCCACCAGAGGCCACCAGGCAGGGACCCGAGAGAAAGCCCTAGGAGCTGAGGGCAGTCCCTGACAACAGCTGCGAGAAAACGGGGACCTCAGTCCCACACCCACAAGGACCTGGATTCTGAACCAGCCTGGGAGGAGGCCTGAGCCCCAGGTGAGGCCCCAGCAGGGGACCCAGGCCGGCTCCTGACCTGCAGGTGTGAGCTACAAGATGGTGCAGGCTTGTCCATTTATTTACTTATTTGTATGGTAGTAAAACACACATAACATAACATTGCCCACCTGAACTATTTTAAAGAGTCCAATTCAGCCACATTCCGTGCACTCACACTGTTGTGCAGACACTGCCTCAAGCAAGCTCCAGAACTCGTTCATCTTCCCAAACGGAGACCCATCAGCAGCCGGTCCCTTCCCTCTGCCCTCAGGCCCTGGAAGCCACGAATCCACTTCATCTCCTGGGTTTCTCTACTCTAGACACTTTACATCAGTGCAAGCTTTTTATATAAACGCAGTCACTTAGCACCATGTTTCTGAGGCTCACCCACGCCATAATGTGTAAGGGAGCTTCACCCTTTTTCTGGCTGCACAATACTCCGTCGTGCGTGCGCCGTGGCCTGTTGATCTGTTCCTCGGTCCACGGACACTTGGGTTGTTTCCACCTTCTAGCTACTGTGAATAACGCTGCTGTGAACACTCATGTCCGAGTTTTTGCTCAGACACCCGTCTTCATTTCTGGCTGTGCATCCCCAGGTGTGGAACTGCAGGGTGCTATGGCAATTGTTTAGCTTTGCGAGGAATCACCAGACCATTTCCCACAGCAGCTGCACCATTTCACACTCCCAAAAGGAATGTGTGCCGAGCGGGTGCTGTTTCAAGCTGCTAAGTTTCTGGTAAGTAGAAAACAGAAAACGAACACAGGGACTGGCCAGAGGGCTGGGAACAGGAGGCAGGGTGGCAGCAAGGTGGCAGCAGGGGGGTGGCGAGGGGGGGCAGCAGGGTGGTGGCAGGGCTCTCCTCCCTGGCCTCTCAGCCCAGCTCCCAAACTCCAGGTATCCTCAACCCCTCCTCCCAGCCTCAGCCCCAGCTCCACATCTCAGCTCCCAGCCTCAGCTCCAGTGGCCTCAGCTCTTGCTCCCAGCCTCAGCTAGCAACCTCACCTCCTGCTCCCGGCCTCAGCTCCTGGACTCAGCTCCAGCTTGCAGATGGATTCAGAAAGGCCCCAGGGCCTTACAGCAATGCCCCAAGACCATGCAGCTGCAGGGGGTCTGATTGGCAGGCCCCAGGAGGACTGCAGATGGGGCGGAGGTCTAAGCCCCCCACTCAGCTAAGTGGGGCATACGCCAGGGCAGGAAGGACACCTGAACGCCCACGTCCGGGTGTTGAGAAGGGCAGAGGCCTGGACAACGTGAGTGAGAGGGCGCGCGGGCACCAGATGTCCGATGAGGCCAAGGGCCTGCTGTATCCCTGTGCTGGGGGAACAGCGCCTCCCAAAATCAGGTCCCCTGGAACCCAAGAAGGCGACTTTATTTGGAAATAAATCTTTGCAGCTGTGATTAGTGGAGAACGAGATGAGGTCATCCTGGAGAGGCCCTCGCCGTAGCAGGTGTCCTTCGAGAAGAGAAGGGGAGGCGGCCTGATGACAGAGGCGGGGCCGGCGCGATGCTCCCACAAGCCAAGGAACCCCAAGGAGTGCCCGTGACACCAGCAGCCGGACAAGGAGGGCTCAGGACCAAGAGTGACCGCGGCCCTCACAGGCCGATCTGCCTTCCAGCCTCCAGCTCTGCGAGACGAGGCATTCCTGTAGCTTTAAGCCCCTCGTCTGTAGGACACTCACCCCCAAGTAAAGGCCCAGCCACGATGGGAGGGGAGCGTGAGGCTGTAGCCCTGGGGAAAGCTGTCCTTGGTCTTCCAGAGGCGAGGAGCTGCGGAACCCCCTGCGGGACACTCAGCTCCGCCCAGAACACCTGGGCTTCTCCATTTCCTCTTGGCAAGTCCCTCGGTGTTTACTTTCTCCCAGTCCAGGGAAACTCCACGCCCAGGGCTTCGGGACTCGGGTCAGGAGAATATTCCCCCTGCGGCCAACCGCAGGCACGGGGAGGAAGTGAGCCTGACCTTTCTCAGGTCCAAAGGTCCCTGAGCTCATGCAGCCCCGCACAGGGAGGGAGGAAGGTGGCTCTGCCCTGCTCCTGACCTGAGACACCAGGGCCACAAATCACCTGTCCTGGGGCCTTCCAGGCCTCATGGTCCTGGGCTTCAGGGCTGCCCTTGGTTTGTACTTGGCCGGTCTTTCGTTGGGTTGGGAATACTGGTAGGGAGGTGCGGGGGTCCCAGGCAGAAACCGACAAGAAACCTGTGGTCGCCAGACCTTCTTGGCACCTGTCACCAGGTCACATCTGATTTGCTGAGCCCCATGGCAGAGTCCAGATGAAAATGCCGGCTGGGCATGGTGGCTCACGCCTGTAATCCCAGCACTTTGGGAGAACGAGGCAGGAGGCTCACTTAAGGCCAGGAGTTCGAAATCAGCCTGGCCATCATGGTGAAACCCCATCTCTACTAAAAATACAAAAATTAGCTGGGCGTGGTGGTGCGTACCCCTAGTCCCAGGTACTCAGGAGGCTGAGGCACGAGAATTGCTTGAACCTGGGAGGTGGAGGTTACAATAAGCCGAGATCACGCCACTGCACTCCAGCCTGGGCGATAGAGCAAGACTCTGTCAAAAAAAAAGAAAGAAAGAAAAGAAAAGAGAGAGAAAGAAAAAGGAAGGAAGGAAGTTAGGAAGGAAGGAAGGAAGGGAGGAAGGAAGGAAGGAAAGAAAGAAAAGAAAAAATGCCTACCTCCTGGGACAGAGTCTCTGTGAAATGCAGCCTCTTCCCTGAACCATGCACATGCCCGCGCGCGCGCGCACAGCAATGGCCGCCCTGCAGACAGCCAGGCCTCGGAAGTCTGGACGTCCGCGAGGCAGAGAGGCGGGGGCGGGCCACTGACCCACGCACAGCCGGCACCTGCATTTCCCCTTTCCCAGAACCAGATGGGGCAGGGGAAGTGGGGTGGGGGTTTCAGTTCCTCTTGACCTCATCAAGACACTGTTGTCTAGAACCTTCTTTCTGCCCATCACGGTAATTGGAGATGCTGCTAACTAGCTCCCACCTCTGCCTGCCCGCTTCATGCCTGCCATCCTTGGCATCCCTACTTGAAAAAAAGCTCTCCATTTTTGCAGGAAACCCGAGTGAAGGCTGAGTGCCCCATGAGGGACCCGGGCTCTGACACAGACAGACTGTCCCGGCTGGAGTCCAGCTCCTGGACGACCTGGGTCTCCCCGTTCTGCACTGGTATCGCGCGGTGAGGCGGCGCTGATCAGAACCTCAAAAGACCTGACCCCGAACACCGTCATCCCAAATCCTGAGCTCCTGAAAGATCAAAACCTAACATGTTGGTGTTCTGACCAGTTTCTCTGTGAATGGTTCATCTGCACATAACTCATATCCACGTGACTGAATGAGCACACCTGTGTGTCTGTGCTGGAGAAAATGTTATGATCACCGACTTTATTGGGTAAAGTCGCCTATGAGGGGTGCTGTCGTGTTTTTCAGTTTCTCAAATCCCCCTTAAAATATAAATAAATAAATGTATTTTATTTATTTATTTATTTATTTTTCTTTTTTGAGACAGAGTCGCTCTGTTGCCCAGGCTGGAGTGCAGTGGCACAATCTCGGCTCAGGGCAACCTCCACCTCCCAGGTTCAAGCGATTCTCCTGCCTCAGCCTCCCGAGTAGCTGGGACTACAGGCGCCCGCCACCACACCCGGCTAATTTTTTGTATTTTTAGTGGAGACGGAGTTTCACTGTGTTAGCCAGGATGGTCTTGATCTCCTGACCTCGTGATCCACCCGCCTCGGCCTCTCAAAGTGCTGGGATTACAGGCATGAGCCACCGCGCCCGGCCAAACAAATGTCTTTTACAGAATGTTTTCGAATTAGTTTTTCCAGAATTATAATTTTGGGATTTTGATCTTTCAGGATGTCAGCATTCAGAACTGTGTCCCAGGATCGTGGCCCAGACCCACAGGGCAGGGGCGTGCACTTTTGAGGGTTCTGAAGACGACTCAACAGGGTGCCTGACCTGCTGGTAAGGACTCAGGAGACCTCACCTGTCCTCGTCACACTCATGGAAGGGGACTCCAGATCCCTGGCGTAGCTGGTCTGGGAACTGGGGAGGGATGGGCAGTGCCCGGTATAGGGTGCAACCTCCAGTGCCCACATTAGCACGTCTGTTGCTGTGAGATTCTATCCTGTGGACACCTGTGGCTGTAACACACACCTTCCCACTGCTGTCACAGGAGTGATACTCTTTCCGATTCTAACATCAGTGTGTGCACATTTTGGGAAAACCAGCAAGTACAGAAGAAGAATTTAGGCCGGGCCCAGTGGCTCACGCCTGGAATCCCAGCACTTCGGGAAGTCAAGGCAGGAGGATCGCTGGAGGCCAGGAGTTTGAGATCAGCCCGGGCAACATAGTGAGACCTCATCTCTATTTAAGAAAGAAAAAGACCACTGGTCCTCCCAGTGTTTACAAGATTTTTCCATTAAAACAGGAGGGATCATAATGAGCGGCCTAACAAAGACATTTAAAGACACGCCAAGAAGGGGCGCAGACAGGAGTCCTGAGATGCAGTCATGGGAACCCGCACCTGTTTTCCCGCCCTGGGCACCCAGCGTGGACAGGCTGGCCGGTGCCAGGGTGAGCAGGGCAGGCTGAGGTCTCCAGTGGGTGGGGACAGGTTAGGGGGCAGCAATTCAGTGACCCTGTCCAGGACTGGGTCCCTTGCAGAAGGTGAGGTCAGCCAGGGGTGGGGGTGGTGGCTGTGGAATCCGTTGTCTGGTCTATAGGGGGTCCCCCTACCGAAGCCCTAACCCTCTCCCCTTCACCACCCCAGTGATCTCCTGGCCCAGGCTGCTGCCTCCAGCAGCTCCCCAGCCCCCAGGACAGTCCTTCAGGACTCTAGGGGGAGTCCCGTCTACAAGGACGGCTCACCAGTCTCCCGCCACAGCCAGTGAGGATGGGGTCCTGCAGCCGAAGTGGTGTGTGCCCAGTGTGGTGTCCCTGGCAGGCTGGGAGGGTGCCCCCAGCTGCCAGTTAGTGAGGCTGGGTTAGCACGAGGGCAAGGAGCTTGGATTCTGGGGCTGACAGCCTGAGCTCAACTCCAGCGCCCCATCTTGCTGGGGCTCCTCCGCCTGGAGGCGGCTCCTCCACCTGCCTCTGCCTCCGTTTCTGCAGCAGTTGCCTGCCGGACTCCAGCCCGAGGCGGGGGCCACGGCTGACCCAGCTGGAGAACGCCCCACTGGCCCAGTCAGTGCTGTCCTCTGCACCTGATGGCTTCTCTTGGCAGGGAGGGCTCCCCCGCCCCCGGGCTCTGTGCCAGCCAGAGGTTCCGCAGGAGCTGCTCACTTCCTCCCGCCGGCAGAGGCAGCCTGCGGGGCGGCTCCAACCTGGAGAAACCAAAATCAGGGCAAGTCCCTGGCTGCTTCCCTGGAAAGCCCCGACGGAGTCCCCGCTCCTTCCCGCCGGTTCTCAGGGTGCTTTATTTCAGAAGGGGATTTCTTCCTCCTGAGAATCTGATGGCCACAGGGTGCCTGTCACATGTCCACATCGGGCCCTCCTGGCTGTCACCAACTTGTCCAACTGTCAGAGGTGTTTGAACCAGAGCGACTCCGTCTTGAATAGGGGCTGGGTGGAATGAGGCTGGGGCCTGCTGGACTGCGTTCCCGGGAGGGTAAGGCATTCTTAGTCACAAGACAGGAGGTTGGCACAAGATACAAGTCACGAAGACCTTGCCGATAAAGCAGGTTGCAGTAAAGAAGTGGCCAAATCCCACCAAAACCAAGATGGTGACTAGAGTGACCTCTGGTCGTGCTCGCCACTCATTATACACAAATTCTAATGCATTAGCTGCTAAGAGACACTCCCACCAGCGCCATGTCCACAAATGCCATGGCAACGTCCGAAAGTTACCCTGCACGGTCTAAAAAGGAGAGGAAGCCTCAGTTCTGGGAATTGACCACCCTTTCCCAGAAAATTCATGAATAATCCACTCCTTGTTTAACATATAATCAAGAAATGACCAAAATAAGCATAAGAATATTCAGCTGAGCAGCCCAGCCCTCCGCACTGCCTCTGGAGTAGCCATTCTTTATTCCTTTACTCTATTAATAAACTTCTCACTTGACTCTCTGGACTCACCCTGAACTCCTTCCTGTGTGAGGTCCAAGAACCCTCTCTTGGTGTCTGGATCAGGACTCCTTTCTGGTAACACAAGCACACAGAGACGTCTCCAGGGGAGTGGGAGGGCCCACTGAGCAGGCCGCAGAGGCAGAGGCTGAGCGCCATCCCACACACTCATCACCAGGGGACGGGCCACCCACACCACACCGGCAGCCCCCTCATACCCCCATGCTCCAGCCCAGAAGGCTGCCCTGGGCCGGCTCTCTATGCTGCCTCGATTTCCCCCTTTCTAGGCCTTGCTTGGGATGAAGGTCACTGCACACCAGATGTCTGCACGTACCGGAGCAGAGCGGGGCCGCCTGGAGCCCCTTCCCACCAACCAGAGCTGCGGCCAGGCAGGGTGGAAATGCAGGCTGTGGGGAGACGAAGGTCAAGTCCCAGAACATGGACGTGTCCCGGGCTCCTGGCTGGTGGGGGCCTGGTCCCTGGCGGGGAAAAGCAGCAGTGCAGGAGCCAGGGCTGTCTGCAGGGAACCAGCCAGGTGGGCTTGGGGGTCACAGGGTCCCTCAGGCCTCTGCTTTGCTCTCTGCTCTCTCTCTTCCTCGGAAAAAGTCTGTGCTGTTGGTCACTTCGCTTTCATTCAACAAGCACAGAGGGAGCACCTGCTCGGGCCAGGCCCTGGGCTGGAACCACGTGGGCGAGTCCCTGCACCCTGGAGCTAAGGTTCTGGGGAGAGGAGACCGGGAGGCAGGCGGTGCCCGTGTGTGCGCGGGTGAAGAAGCCTCAGGGAGCGTGCGGCCGAGGAGGAGCCGCCTCAGCAGATCTCGGGAAGAACTTTCCAGGCAGAACGGTCCGTGCAAAGACCCTGGGGCAGAGGTGCTCAGACACAGCCAGGGGGCTGAGGGCAGAGGTCTGGGGTCAAGCTGGGGCTGGAGGGTGGGAGGGGTCCCCGGGAGGGGGTGTCCTGGCTCCTGGTGGCTCTTCTAGGGCAGGGACCTGGGCTGCTCCACTTTCACACTCCTGGGGTTTCCCCGGGAGCCTTCTCTGTGGCAAGAAGCCTGTCCTGGAAAGTCCCGGACCACAAGTCAACAAGGAAAGGTCAGCTCTGGGCTACGGCCGGGCCAGGCCAGGCCTGTGCCCTGTGGTGCTCCCGAGGACGGGGCCAGCGACCCTGTGTCCTGCTCCAGCCCCTCTGTGGGTGCAGGAGGTTGGGGGCTGCCCTCCCAGGAAATACCACTGAGGCCTCGGCTCTCAGGCTGCCCACAGGGCCTCTCCCACTGAGGCAGCGGGGGCAGCAGGGCCACAGCCCCCGCTTACCCCCTACCCAAGCCCTCTGCCCTTAGGCGTGCAGCCACACCCAAGAGTGTCAGGCCTGGGGTCCTGGGTGTGGAGCTGAGGGGCCTGGGCAGGGCAGATGGGGGAAACTGGGGGTCCAGGTTACAGCAGGCTGGGAGGGTGAGAGGTGGCCTGAGCACCAGTGGCCCTCTGGGATGTGACATTTACTCTGAGGGTGAGAGGAGAGGCCGGGAACAGAGAGGGCAATGAGCAGGGAGGCAGAGGCGGCAGAGACGTGCAGAAGCAGGAGAACTGGGCAGAGCACCTAACCCGCTCCGCTCCGTCCCGTAGCCTCTCCCCTCCAGGCACAATCTGCCTTCCTCCTCCAGGCACAAGAGAGTTGGCCAACGCCTCCTGGGGCAAAGTCCCCAGGTGAAGAGCGGCTGCTCTAAGGTTTAACCTCCAGGTTATCACAAACCCAGGGAGGGGAAGGAGGGACAAGTTGTTATAAAAGACAAACCCCGGTGGCAGGACATCCTCCCAGCAGAGTCAGTGCCACTCTAACAAGCTGGGGCACGATTCCAGAAAGGCAAGGCGTGGCACCGAGTGAGGGCACCTGGGACATCCGAGCGCGAGTGGGAGGCTAGATGCTGTGTGGAGTTTTCCGAAGGCCTTGTTGTGATGGCGGCGACGCGGGGAGTGTCCTCATTCCCAGAAGTTTGCTGATTGATGTTTTTAGGGCCAGTGTTCAAATGTCTGCAACTTGTGTTCAAAAATGGTGCATGAAAAAATAATGCGAATGGAACACGGATCCTGAAAGAGGTTGGGTGCCTTTCAAGCGTTTCCTGAGGGGACGGGCTGGGCGTCCACACTCTTATTCTTTACACTTTTCTACGTACATCACAGTTTTCACAACACGCACACATCGGGATGGCTATTATCAAAACACAGAAAATCACAAGTGCGGGCAAGGATGTGGAGAACCAGACCCCTTGGGTGCTGCTGGCAGGAGTGTAAAACAGTGCTGCCACCGTGGGAAGCAGGATGGCAGTCCCTAAAACAATTCAAATAGAACTGCCAGGCCAGGGGCGGTGGCTGGCACCTGTAATCCCAGCACTTTGGGGGCCGAGGCAGGAGGATCACTTGAAGCCAGGAGTTCGCAACCAGCCGGGGCAAAATGGCAAAATTCTGTCTCTACAAAAAAATGAAAACTTAACCAGCCATGGTGATGGCCACCGGTAGTCCCAGCTACGTGGGAGGCTGGGCTGGGAGGCTTGCTTGAGCCCAGGAGACCCAGGTTCCCGTGAGCTATGATCATGCAGCTGCACTTTAGCTGAATTCTTCAGCAGAAATAAAAACTTCGGTCACACTGGTGTATACTGTCTTATTCTGTGCCCCTTAAGAAAGGTTTGATTCCCTAATTCCTTTTTATACACTAGTTTTTTTTCAAAAGTGTTTGCAGGGTTAGATCGCGTCTCTCGTCTCCACACTGCAGGTAACTGGGTAGAAACTCTGCCCTCATGCATCAGACACGCTCCTGGTTCCCTGCAATCGGACCTGTCACTACAAACAGACCAAGCTTTCCAGATGCCAGTGGTGGTGGGAAAGCTGACAACACTCCCTACAGCAGGATGACGGAGGACACAGCCTGCTCTATAACGTCAAAGTGGCCTCTGGGTCCTTGTCCCAGGGCAGAAACAGACTCCTAAGTGTGAACGGAAAACAGAGGATTATTAAAATTGTCACCTAATGCAGAAGCCCTGCTACGCCCTTAGGTGGTCAAGGCTGATTTCTTACCCATCCACGACCGCAAAGGAAACCGTTCTTTGTTGGGGTCGAAGAGCATGAACCCTCTTTAGAATGGATAGTGTTGGCCAGGCACGGTGGCTCACGCCTATAATCCCAGCACTTTGGGAGGCCGAGGCGGGCCGATCACCTGAGGTCAGGAGTTCAAGACCAGCCTGGCCAATATGATGAAACCCCGTCTCCACTAAAAATACAAAAATTAGCCGGGCATGGTGGCATGTGACTGTAGTCCCAGCTACTCAGGAGGCTGAGACAGGAGAATTGCTTGAACCTGGGAGGAGGAGCTTGCAGTGAGCCGAGATCGAGCCACTGCACTCCAGCCTGTGTGTCAGAGTGAGACATCATCTCAAAAACAAAACAAAACAAAAAAACCAAGATGGATCGTGTCCATGTCTGCACCACCACACATCAAACAATCCAACAGGTGGAACTGTGCAGACTTCCCCACACTCAATGTCCTCTTTCCAATGTCGCTGTTCGCTATCTGTGGATGTCCCTAAATGGCCTCAGAAGTTTCCATTAGAAGAAATTAGAGATATTGTAGGTTTTAAGTCATTGAGCAATCACTTACTAATTACAAGTCACTTATTTATTAGACAAAAATGAACATTTTATGTGCACAAAGATAGTATCATAAGAGGTGTGGCGTTTTGCCATTGGAACCTGGGCATACGGTCATTTGTCCTGCAGTTTCTCGTGTACTGAAAGGTGGCGTGGATCCTACAGTTTCTCGTGTACTGAAAAGCGGTGTGGATCCTACAGCTTCTCTACTGAAAGGTGGCGTGGATCCTACAGCTTCTCGTGTACGGAAAGGCGGCGTGGATCCTACAGCTTCTCGTGTACGGAAAGGCGGTGTGGATCCTACAGCTTCTCTACTGAAAGGTGGCGTGGATCCTACAGCTTCTCGTGTACGGAAAGGCGGCGTGGATCCTACAGCTTCTCGTGTACGGAAAGGCGGTGTGGATCCTACAGCTTCTCTACTGAAAGGTGGCGTGGATCCTACAGTTTCTCATGTACGGAAAGGCGGCGTGGATCCTCAGCTTCTCGTGTACCGAAAGGCGGCGTGGAGCAGCACAAGGAGCTTGAGCGTTGCAATGAGAAGTCATGGCTGTGAATCCCACCCCATCACGTTTTGAATGTTGGGCAAATTAATTAATCGTTTTATCCACTTACTAGGCGATGTATAGTTTGTATACTTCATGCCAGTCATTGTTTTAGACTCTTAAGATGCAAAGATAAATAAGAAAGTTGCTTTGGGCAAAGAGTGAGACCTTTTTCTTAAAAAAACAAAACAAAAGAATTACCATGTGATGAGCACTTCTCCTTCTGGGTGCATACCCAGTGCTCTGAGCTACAGCGTCTAACGTTCAAGCCAGCTTCTCAATCGGACCCCAGGATCCTTTCTAGAGAGAAATCCTGTCCACGTCGCCCTCCTAGCTGGCACGGCTGCAGGCACCAGTGTCGTGGCAGCGGGAAGGGGAGGACGGGCTTGGTGAAAGGGGACTGGGGCCTCCTCACTCCTGGGGCTGCCAGCTCCCTCACCCTGAAATCAGACCCACGCCCGCCCTGCACTTCCTGAGTGTTTCCTGAGACCAAGGGATCAGAGCTTCGGCTGTGAGGGGCGGTGCTGTGCCCTGGGACACACGGAGCCACAGCCTCCGCTTCCAGGGTGCCCTGGGGCCTCTCTCCACGTCTCCCTAGGGGCAACCGCCACAACTACTCTGTGTCGTGTGTCCTGCGCCGTCCATCCGACCCCTCGCAACTCATCCCAAGCCTGGGGGGCTCTGGGGGACAGGGCAGGTGGGGCCATGTGACCAGGAGAACCTGCTGGTGTCTCCGGCCTCCACTGGGTGCCCCAGGACTGTGGTCAGCAGGGTGGAGCCCCTGATGCAGCTTCACTGCCTGCTGCAGCCAGAGGGGGATGGGGTCCCACCCACAGCCCCTCCTCCGGAGCCCCCAGCTCTCCCCTCCGAATCTCTCCACCCACCGCACCCCTGAGCGTGAGGGGCACTGGGGTCTCCTCCCGGAAGTGGGGGTCCCGCCTGGCCCCTGAAGCCCTGGGGAAGGGTTTCTGTGGAGCTGCTCATGGTCCCTGCCTGTCCTGCCCCCGGGCCCAGGGCCTGGCTCCACCGCCCCGGCATGTCATTCCCGGGGGTGGGGGCGGCACCACGGAGAAGTCAGACTCCGGCTGGGCTGGCAACAAGGGTGGGGTCAGAGGAGCCCCGTGGCGCTGTGGAGGGTGACCGGGTGCCAGGGTCCCGGGAGCTGCAGGGTTTGGGGCTGAGGCGCAGGATGAGGCCGACACAGGGGTCCTGGGGCGCGGGCGGTCCGAGCCGTCCCCTCACCGCCCAGCCTCGTAGGGGCCCGCTGTGGGCCAACTGCAGCAGGAGCTGGGGACACAGCCGTCTCACACCTGCCTCCTGGTGCGTTTCTGGGGCTCAGGGATAGGCGTCCTCACTCAGGACACACAGGACTGGTCTGGCCGTGGGGTCAGGCCAGGAGGCATCCCCTTTGCACCTCCTCACACCCC
Source organism: Homo sapiens (assembly GCF_000001405.40). Taxonomy (NCBI): domain Eukaryota; kingdom Metazoa; phylum Chordata; class Mammalia; order Primates; family Hominidae; genus Homo; species Homo sapiens. Next base: position 44,166,540 of record NC_000021.9, on the reverse strand, counting down.
TGTGGGGAGGGGAGGGCCCTGGGAACCCATAGACGCCTGCCCCACAGCAGCTGAGGTCCCGCAGCAGCCAGCAGGGCTGGGCCACTTGAGGCCTCCGGCTCTGATCGCCCAGAGGGCGCACGGGGTTTGGTGCAGCCTCTGATGGGCACGAGGCGGCCGCACGGGATGAGCACAGTGGGCGTCCCTTCCCCATGGCCAGGACTCCAGGCTGGAATGTGGAGGTTCCCGAAACCCACACTGGAAGGCACCCCATGGATATGCTGGGGACTGGGGCCGAGAAGAGGGCACTGCAGGCACGCGGTGGGGTGGCCTCCCAACGCCCAACTCTCCTGCACACCCCAGCCCCTCCCGCAGGCCTGGGCATGGAAGTGAGCCCGGGGCGGGTTCAGGCAGCAGTCAGGGCCTTTGTTTCAGTGCCGTACGCTGGCCAAGTTCAACATCCAGGGGGATAAACAAAGGTCCTGCACACGGCCTGCACTGGGCGGGAGCAGCTCCAGAGAACCTGCCTGGGCCAGGGCTGCCCACAGCGCGGGGGCAGCATCTGTGGGCACACCCGGACCCTGGGTGACCAGTGTGGGGGCCTCTCTGCATGCTCAGGCAGGTGCAGACAAGGCCGCGGCCTGGGCAGCCATCTGCCTGTCACTGCCTGGGCAGCCATCTGCCTGTCACTGCCTGGCCAGTCATCTGCCTGTCACTGCGTCTCAACAACTGGTGCCACAATTCTGTGCTGACAACAATCTCCACGCTGCAGCCACCGCCCGCCCCACAGGCCCCTCACCCTCAGGCCACCTGCCCGCCCCACAGGCCCCTCACCCTCAAGCCACCCGCCTGCCACACAGGCCCCTCACCCTCAGGCCACCCGCCTGCCACACAGGCCCCTCACCCTCAGGCCACCCGCCTGCCACACAGGCCCCTCACCCTCAGGCCACCCGCCTGCCACACAGGCCCCTCCACCTGAGACGCCAGCAAAGGAGGCCGAGAGGAGAAAGCCCCAGGCCGGCTTCCCGGCTGCCACTCCCCGCACCCCGTGCCAGTTGAACTCCTGAGGCTTCAGGGTCCAGCCTCTCTGCAACCTCGGCTCCACCCCGCCCTCCCCATGCCTTCAGATTCCTCCGCTGGCTCTGAATGGGGTGCCGGGAGGGCCCCTCCTTCTGCAGCTCAACAGCCACGTGAAGCCCTCGCTGCTCCAGGAAACGGGGCCCCGAAGGCTGGCCCACGGAGATGGAGGCAGGCACCCGCCATCCTCAGCACCAGGACCACGGGTTCCATCCTGGCTGCACACCGCGCTCCCTGGAGAGCTGTAATGTGTCCCGATGCCCAGGCCACCGCCTAGCCAGTCCACCCTGGACAGTGGGGAGCGGGGTCCCCGCATCAGCACTTCTGAAGGTTCCTGGGTGACCTCAAGGTGCAGCGGGAGAGATACTCACCACTCATGGGTGGTCCCCGGCCCAGTGCTCCCCGGAACTGGGGAGGGGCTCCATCTCAGCCACCCAGACCGAGGGACCCATGTCTGCACCCACAGGACCCCAGGGGCTCCCTGTGCTTGCCAGGTGCAGCCACAGTGCGCAGCGAGGACTCAGCGAGGGACAGGTAGCAGCAAGGCCAGCTTTAACTCGAAGGGGCCCAGCCCAAGCTGCCAGGTGTCTGGGTCCCCGATCAGGGTCTGTATCAGCTCCCATTGCTGGCACTGCCAATCATCACACAGCAGAGGGCTTAAAAGGACAGTTTATTCCCTCATGGTTCTGGGGCCAGGAGCCTGAGGTCAAGCGTGGGGAGGCAGTGGCTCTGGGGATCCGCCCTGCACCTCCCTCCTGTCACAGTCCTGCCCTTCTCAGCCCATGGACGTGCCCTCCACCTCTGCTGGTCTCCCTCCAGGACACGCCACTGGACTCAGGGCCCAGGCAGGCAACCTGGGGTGACCTTATCTTGAATCTTGAGATCCTTAACTCGATCACATCTGCAAAGGCCTTCCCGAGGTTCCAGGTGGACGCGTCCCTTCCCGAGGTTCCAGGCGGACGCATCCCTTCCCGAGGTTCCAGGCGGACGCATCCCTTCCCGAGGTTCCAGGCGGACGCGTCCCTTCCCGAGGTTCCAGGCGGACGCGTCCCTTCCCGAGGTTCCAGGCGGACGCGTCCCTTCCCGAGGTTCCAGGCGGACGCGTCCCTTCCCGAGGTTCCAGGCGGACGCGTCCCTTCCCGAGGTTCCAGGCGGACGCGTCGCTTCCCGAGGTTCCAGGCGGACGCGTCCCTTCCCGAGGTTCCAGGCGGACGTGTCCCTTCCCGAGGTTCTAGGTGGACATGTCTTTTGAGAGGGCCTCAGGTTAACCCACTACTGTGTCTGAATCTGTCCCTTCCCCAAGCAGCAGCTCTGTGTCCCAGCATGGCCACTGTGGGGCAGAGACACAGCAGGTCCCACATCTCTGTGCCCTGCAGACCCGTCAGCCCTGGGGATGCTGGTCTGGGACGGACCCCTAGATATCACACAGCCGAGAGGTAGGTCAGTGCTTTAAGATGCTGATACTGCTGGTTCAGCTCCTGGAGCAGAATTCTCAGGGTGGATTTCCAGCAACGCCTCCTGGGAGGGTCAGCAGGGGCTGGGGTCCGTGGGGTGGTCTCCGGGAGGTTTGCCTGTGTCAGGCCTGTGCTGCTTCTGGCGGAGGCGCTTGTCCAGCCTCATCCAGCCTGGTGTCTCCGGTGCCACGCGCTAACACCTTCAGTGCACGCTCGGGAACGCGCCTGGAAGGCCCTGCCCTGCCCCGCCCCAGGCTCCAGCCAGACGCTGCCAGCACCCGGGCCCTAGGCTATGCCAGTCCCACAGGACTTGGGTGAAAGTGGGTCCCAGAGGCAGGGCAGAGGGCAGCTCCTGTCTGGGGGCGCATGCTGGGCACCTGATCTATACCCAGAAGCCCATAGGGAGCAGGGTCCACAGGGCTGGCGATGCCGCTCCCAGGAAGCCTTTGTGGGCTCAGACACAGGACCCAACAGCCCTGCAACAGTGCCTGGAGCCAGACGTTCACCCCAGATCCTTCTGTGGGGTGAGACTGCAGGTCAGGCCGAGGCGTGTCAGCCAGGGTGGTGTGACTGCACCTCCAGAGCCAGCAGCAACGGCCAGGCTCAGATTAACGTTCAGAAACTCTGGCACCTCCAGAGCCAGCAGCAACGGCCAGGCTCAGATTAACGTTCAGAAACTCTGGCACCTCCAGAGCCAGGAGCAACGGCCAGGCTCAGATAGAACATTTAGAAAGAACTCTGGCGGGCAACCGTGGGTGGCAGAGTCACAGCTAATTCACAATTTACAGCCAAGACTGTCCCTGATCCAGTCTAGAGAGAACCTGTTAAGGAAAAATTATCCTGGTGCTTATCGTAATGGCAAGGAAGACTTCATTATGGACTCCCGCAGTGAGGGAGAGACGGGCTCTATGTTGGGTGCAGCAGGACAAGGGGGGTTCACAGCCGAGAAGTGAGGGGGTCCGTGGCTGGAAAATCACCAGGAGGGTGCGGCAGGGCCGGGGCATCCTGCTGAAGGCGTCGAGGACTGAGGTCTGATCTGCTCCTGGAGCTCAGACATCGGGGTGGGATTCTCTCTGACCTGACTCTGGGTTCCTGCTCCGTTGGACTCGGCAGGGTTGCACATGGAAGCCCAAGGTTGAGTCCCCCTCAAGAAGAGGCTCCAAGAGTCTCTGCCGCGCCTGTGTCATTTGGCCGCAAGCACAGCTGTGTGGGCCAGAGTGTTGGGGAGATCCACCCCTGCTCAAAGAGTGGGCAGGGGCTGAAGCCAGGAGGTGGGCCCTGCGTAGGGGTAGCACCCACGAAAACAGAGCGAGGAGGCACACGTAGGCTGAAGCATCCAGGAGCCAGGGCCTCAGGAGTGGGCAACACAGAGAGCCAGGGAGGACGGTGGCCACCTGGATCCCGGAGAGCCACCACGAAGTATCCCAAAGCTCTGGGCATTGAGGAAGCCTGATCAAGGAAACCCGAGAGAACTGACATCGTCAGACGCAGGCTGGCCGGGCTGGCAGTGGCTGAAGGTCTGGGATGGGGCCCCTGCCACGTGGCCACCACAGGCTGAGCAGAGCCCAGCGGGGAAGGACCCACCAGCTCCCCTGGAGACCCTTTCCACCCCTGGCTCTGGGGGCCAACCCTACAACCAAAGTCCTGCCCTCCCCAGGGGGCCAGGACCACCTCCCTTTCCCTGGGCCCTGGGAGTGGAGAGGAAACGGCTTCCTTTTTCTCCCCCAGCCCAAGATCTAGAAAAGCGGGGCTTAGCCGGGCACGGTGGCTCACACCTGTAATCCCAGCGCTTTGGGAGGCCGAGGCCGGTGGATCTCCTGAGGTCAGGAGTTCAAGACCAGCCTGGCCAACATGGTGAAACCCCGTCTCTACTAAAAATACAAAAATGAGCTGGGTGTGGTAGCAGGCACCTGTAATCCCAGCTACTCGGGAGGCTGAGGCAGGAGAATCCCTTGAACCCAGGAGGCGGAGGTTGCAGTGAGCCAAGATTGCACCATTGCACTCCAGTCTGGGCAACAAGAGCAAAACTCTGTCTCGAAAAAAAAAAGAAAAGAAGAAAAGAAAAGCAGGGCTCATACCATATGCCATGGGCACCTGACACACAGGCCCCTGCCTGCCCAGACCTCCACATGTATCCAGGCCCCGAGTGAGTGTCCAGCCCCCCCACCGTGTGTCCAGCCCCCCGCCACGTGTCCAGCCCCCCGCCACGTGTCCAGCCCCCCTGCCGCGTGTCCAGCCCCCCGCCACGTGTCCAGCCTCCCTGCCGCGTGTCCAGCCCCCTGCCGCGTGTCCAGCCCCCTGCCGCGTGTCCAGCCCCCCTGCTGCGTGTCCAGCCCCCTGCTGTGTCCAGCCCCCCTGCGTGTCCAGCCCCCGCCACGTGTCCAGCCCCCGTGTCCAGCCCCCCACCGCATGTCCAGCACCCCAACCGCGTGTCCAGCCCCCCCGCCGCGTGTCCGGCCCCCCCGCGTGTCCAGCCCCCCTGCCGTGTGTCCAGCCCCCCAATGCGTGTCCAGCCCCCCCAACTGCATGTCCAGCCCCGCACCGCATGTCCAGTCTGAAGAATCCCACAGAAGAGCAGCCCGCATGTGGGAACGCACATGCTTTTCTATAACACAACATGGCTACAAAATGTTCACAGCCCTTGAATCTCTGTCATTTCTCAGAAAATACCCTAGGGAAAAGGCCTCAGAGGCCCAAATGTTCTTCTCAACATTATTTTAATCAGGAAATACTGCAAACTATCCCAAAGCCAACTAAAATGGTAGGGCAGAGGGAAGTTTTCTGTAAATGCCACTGGAGAAAGTATCACACGGCCCTCGCGGTCCCAGGGGCTGGGCCAGGGCAGGCTGTGGCCTCCCAGGGAGTTTTACAGATGCTGGATCACAGGGGTGGGCCCATGAGAAGCGGGCGGCGGGCTCCTCCGCCCTCAGACTTGCAAGCACGGACCACGGCCGCCTATGCTGGCAAGACCGCGATCATGCTTTTTCATTTCTCAGGGTTCAGTAATCTGCCTGCATCTCTTCTCCAGCAGCAGCTGCACATTACGCCATGGGGCATCAACTCCGAGGAGCGCTTGGCACGCGCCTTCCTCCTCCCAGCCTGGAATCATCGCCCGGGCCCTTCCCTCTCAGGGCGGGGACCTCTCTAGGGAAAGGAAGGGCTTTCCAGGGCAGCCCCTCCAGCCTGCATCTCCTGGGAGGGCCCCAGAGAGGGCACTGGGCAGCTTCACTTCAAATCGGGGGCATTGGGGCTGAGCCCGAAGCAGGAGGGCAGCAAGGGTCCTGACATTGTGGACTTGGCCAGGGAGGGGCCAGTCCCTCTCAGCCACCCACAGCTACCTGTCCCGAGAGTGTGAGGATTCGGGTCTTTGGTGGGCTCTGGGGAAGGGGCTGCAAGGAAGCGGGCCCAGAACCTGGTGCTGAGGCCCAGGACCCATGCAGGGACGTGGGGCAGGACAGAGAGGGGCAGGGCAGGGGCAGGGACAGGGGCAGGGATGCGGGATAGGACAGGGGTACGGACAGGGATGGGGCAGGGACGCAGGGCAGGACAGGGGCAGGGACGGGGCGGGACACGGGACAGGACAGGCGCAGGGGCAGGGCAGGGATGCAGGGCAGGACAGGGATGAGGGCAGGGACGTGGGGCAGGGACAGGGACGTGGGGCAGGGACAGGGACATGGGGCAAGACAGGGACGGGGCAGGGACGTGGGGCAGGGCAGGGAGAGGGGCAGGGACGTGGGGCAGGACAGAGAGGGGCAGGGCAGGGGCAGGGACAGGGGCAGGGACACGGACAGGGCAGGGATGCGGGGCAAGACAGGGAGGGGGCAGGGATACGAGGCAGGACAAGGAGGGGGCAGGGACTCAGGGCAGGACAGGGCAGGGGCAGAGGCAGGACAGGGACGGTGCAGCCTCCGCTGCTGCCCTCTCGGGGAGCCTGGCTCCCACCCTCACCCAGCCACTGCTCCTGGGCACAGAGCTGAAGGGGAACTGGAGGCTGCGGCGTTCCTCTCTCCGTTCCCCTCTCTCTGGTGACTCGTGATAACGAACCGACCTTTTGGAGACATTCTGTGCCCTCAACAAAAGCGGCCCCTGTCTGGAAACCCCCCCGAGGGAGACTGACTTCCTCCCCTGCTGCCTGGGCTGCGGTAGCTCTTCCGGCACCTGCTCTTCAGGCACCTGCCCTGTGCTGGCCCCTCCTGCAACAATCGGGTAAGGGGACCCAGGACCACAGGGAGGCTCCAGGGAGCCCCGTGGGTGCCTCCAGCAGCCGTCGGGGGTCTCTGTCCCTCACACCTCATCTGTGAGGGTCCCTTGGCAAGGCAGCCCCTCCCGCTTGCCCAGGGTGGCAGGCCGGCTGCCCGCATGCAGAGGCTGCTGGGAGGGTCCCCTCATGCTCTCCCCTCCCCGTCCCCTGCCTACCCAGCCAGGGCTCTCGCTCCCAGCAGCCAACGGTACAGCCCGCCTCGGTCTCTGGGGTGCTAGATACACTCTGCCTGGAGCCCAGGTACTGGAACCTCTGTGCCTGGGCCATGGGGGGCAGGTTAAGGGAGGCCCTGCCCCTGGAGCGCAGGTACTGGAACCTCTGTGCCAGGGCCATAGGGGGTGGGTTAAGGGAGGCCCTGCCCTGCCCCTCACCTGTCCCCTCATCTGCACATCCCTCCTTCGTGTCACCTGCACAGGAGCCCTCACCTCAGTCGGCGCTGCAGAACCAGCCCAGGAGAGCAGCTGGCCTGTCATCTGCTGAGGAGCGGAGGCGTGCGGGGATCCGGAGGGGAAGGGGGTCTGGAGTGCTCCGGGGGAGACCCTCAGGGACTGCCCTGCTGCTGGCAGCGCCTGGGCCCACGGCTGATGGAGGCGTCTCCTGGCCCCCAGGGCTGTGCCCAGGACTGCAATGGCCTCCCACACTACCTCACTACCCTGGTCCAGGCTCACTGACAGATGAGGAAACTGAGGCAGGGGCCCCGGTCTCACGGCCATTGGTGCAGAGCTGGGATCCACGACCAGGTGGGCTCTTTGTTATTACTTCCTCCAAGGACAAGCCCAGGTTCTCCAGGGTGTGGGGTCCACGTGTGGCCACAGCGGGCCTTAGAGACAGACAGGCCTGGGTAGGGGGAGGGGTGGGTGGGCAAGGCCTTAGAGACAGGCCTGGCGGGGGAGGGGCCGGGCCTGTGCACTGGCAGTGGTGGCACCACGGGCCCTTGGGGACACCAAGTGAGCTCTTTAAAGTGGCTAAAGTGGTAAACCTTGTGTTTTGTATAGATTCTACCAATTAAAAAAAGGAAATGTGGGCCGGGCGTGGTGGCTCATGCCTGTGATCCCAGCACTTTGGGAGGCCGAGGCAGGTGGATCACCCAAGGTCAGGAGTTCAAGAGCAGCCTGGCCAACAGGGTGAAATCCCATCTCTCCTAAAAAAACAAAACAAAACAAAACAAAACAAAACAAAAACAGAATTAGCCGGGCATGGTGGTGGGCACCTGTAGTCCCAGCTACTGGGGAGGCTGAGGCAGAAGAATCACATAAACCCAGGAGGCCGGAGGTTCCAACGAACTAGGATCGCACCACTGCACTCCAGCCTGGGCAACAAAGTGAGACTCTGTCTCAAAAAAAAAAAAAAAAAGAAAAAAAAAGGAAAAGAGAAAGAAAAAGAAAAAAAGTGACAATTCACATAGACCCCTGAAAACCTCTGGGCTTAGGGACAGCAAGAGCCTTCCTGGGGCCTCCTGGACCATGTCAGGGCCTCCGAGGCCTCTGGGACGCCATCCCTGCTCAGCTTCCTCACTCTCCTTTTGCCCGAGAACAAGCTCTGTTCTGGCCACGGCGTTGTCTACACAACACAGCTAACTGCTTTGCCATCAGCCCTCATACAGATTTAAAACACACACACACACACACACAAAAGATAAGGTTATGGGCTGCACTGCGTCCCCCAAATTCACAGAGTGAAGTCCCGACTTCAGGATCCGCCTGTATTCAGACACAGGGTCTTTACAGAGGCGACAAAGGTGAAACAAGGTTACCAGGGTGGGCTCTGACCTGACCTACCGGCGTCCTTAAAAGAGGAGGACACAGACACGCAGGAGGGGCGGCCACGCAAGGACACAGGGAGGTGGTGCCGCCTGCCTGCAAGGAGAGGCCTCGTAACAGCCACGCCGCACCTCAACCCGGGACGCCCCCAGGACTGGAGAGAACCCACATCTGCTGTGGGAGCACCTGGCCACGGTGTGTGCGAGGCGGCCCCGGCAAACTCACGTAGACAGGACCCAGCTCCCCCAGGCCATCTTTCAATGGGAGAGGGTGACCCAGTGTTTTCCCAAAACCCAGCACGGTCCCCAGGACGCGTTCCCCACCAGGGTGGGCTGGGCCGGATCACAGCCCAGGCTCCCAGAGACTTCCGGTGCCACATCAGCTCACAGAGCTTCCTGTTTCAGCCCAGATCAGAAACACCATGAGACGCCCAAGGAGGAATATTTTAATACTTCTGCTATTGGCCTCACCCAAAACCAGAAAGTGCAGGGAGTCGTGAAAATGAAGAAAATGATCAGAACCTGAGGGACCAGGCCGTGCCATCCGAAGACAATCCTGAGATCTCTCTCCGGGCCCTGCCCTGCCCCTCCCTCTCTGCCCCCAGCAGGAGCCCCCTTTTCCCCTGGGGCCAAGAACCCAGGCCACACAGGGTGCAGAAGACCCGCCAGGGAGGCCACAGCAGGGGACAGAAAAGAAGGCCCGTCGCTGGCATGAGGGGTGGCTTCCATGTGGGGAAACTGAGTCAGTAGCAATTCCAGATTGGAGGTCCTAACCAGGTCAGGTATGCGGGCACCGCACCGTCAGCCAAGACCACAGCCCCACCTCCTCAACAGCTGGGCCCACGCCATCGGGGGGGCGTTCCAAGAGACTTAAAAAAACCATAACCCAACCCCGAGGAGGTGCCCTCTGAGGTGGGGTGTCCCATACTAGAGTCAGGGTGACCTGAGGACAGGCCAGGCACACAGGGCCACCCTGAGTAAAGACGGGGGACCCAGGAGGGCCTGGGACTAGCCAGGATGGTGGCTGCTGTGTTGAGAGGGCATCTGGGACCCCAACCCGCAGCCCCTCGTCTCCTTATGAGCCATGGGGCCTCAGGAAATGCACCCCATTTCGTGCCTCAGTTTCCCTCCTGGGCTGAACTGTGTCCCCCACAGCCATGTGTTGAGGTCCTGACCCCAGACCTGTGAGTGTGACCTTATTTGGAGGCAGGGTCTGCACAGAGGTAACGAGGTTAAAGCAAGGTCAGCTGGGTGGGCCCTGACCCACCCAGACACACAGAGAGAGAACAGGCCACATGACACGGGGCCGAGGCCGTGGCAGTGCTTCCGCCAGCCAAGAAGCACGGAAGACCTCAGGCCACAAAGCCAGGAGCGGCCTGGGACAGACCCCACTCACGGCCTCGGGGGCCAGCCCTGCTCACACCTTGACCTTGGACTTCTGGCACCATAACTGTGGGAGGGTGAATCTCTGGTGGTTTGGGGGCGTGGGGTGAATCTCTGCTGGTTTGGGGGCGTGGGGTGAATCTCTGCTGGTTTGGGGGCGTGGGGTGAATCTCTGCTGGTTTGGGGGCGTGGGGTGAATCTCTGGTGGTTTGGGGGCGTGGGGTGAATCTCTGGTGGTTTGGGGGCGTGGGGTGAATCTCTGCTGGTTTGGGGGTGTGGGGTGAATCTCTGCTGGTTTGGGGGCGTGGGGTGAATCTCTGCTGGTTTGGGGGTGTGGGGTGAATCTCTGCTGGTGTGGGGGTGTGGGGTGAATCTCTGCTGGTTTGGGGTGTGGTGATTTTTTGCCACAGCAGCGCTGGGTTTCCGATACGGCTACAATGCACATCTGCAGCAACTGCTAAATGAGGTAAAATACGTACAGAGCCAGCACGTGGTAGGCACGCCCTCAGAAGAAGTAGTGGGAGCAACAGGGCCCTGGAAGGTTCCAGAAGGCCTAAAAGATGGGAGAAGAATGTGAGCCGAGCTCTGGGATGGACCAAAGAATTCCAGAAGGGGTTGGAGCACCAAGTCTGACCTGGGGGGCTCCTCTGAGCAACCCCAAACCTCCCAGACACCCACGAGCCGCCTTGGCTCTGGGCCAGCACTGACCCCGACTGCTGACGAATCGAGGGCCCGCCAGCCCCGTGCACTCGCTCGGAGCCGCGCAGGTTTACAGCATGGTCCTGTGTGTGACCGCACTTGGTCCTCGGAAAATTCGGAAGGTGTGTCCCAGCCGCAGCCTGAGGACCGGCAATGTGGGCGTCCCACAAGCCACACGCCACACGGCAGGAGCAAACTGCCAATCCTCCCCTCTGCCCACCAGGCAGAGGCGGGAGCCGGGACAGCCAGAGCGCCTGATAGCCCTGGACTGCCACCACCACAGGAGCGGGAGCACCCGGCCAGCTGCAGGCTTAGAGACGATGCCCTCCCGGCTCCTGCCGGCCACAGGCTCCGCATTCGCCATAGAAAGGCTCTGCTGCATTCAGCACCCAGCCCGTGTCTCTAAATGACTGGCTGCTGTTTGTTTTTCTTGTGGCTGCAGTGGTTTTCTAAGAAGGTAACTCACACTGCAAGGCAGTAAAAATAGTTACCATTCATGCCACACCTGCAGGCTGGGGCCTACCGGACCTGGTCCCAGAGGCTTACACATGTGCACAGATACACATATCACACATGACTATGTGCAGACGTGTGCACACACACCTGCCTGCCCACAGGTGCGCTGCACACCCGCACACACACATGCACGGATACACACATCACACGTGCCTATGTGCACACCTGCACACGCACGGATACACACGTCACACGTGCCTATGTGCACACCCGCGCACGCATGCAGTTCAAGTCCTTGCAAGCCCCATGAGCAGGTGTCCTCAGCCCCTTTCTCTGGAGCCGCCGCGGGCACATGATTTGTCTGAGGTCCCATGGCAGGAGAGTCAGCTGCTGAGCTGGAATCAGGAACTAGGCCTGGCTGGCCAACACTGCTTGTCTGGGCAGTGAAACTCATTCCTCATGAGGCCCTCCAGGCGACTCGGTGGCCTGGCCGTGGGAAGAACGCCTTGCCCCGCCTTCCCCTCGCCCCCACCGCAGCACCAGCCAGGGTGCTGCGCTCCTCTCGCTGGGGACCTGCCAAGTCATCACCAGAGATGGAATCTGCCCCGTCAGACGTCCATACCACGCCCCCAGGGCCCTGAGATCAGGTCCCCAGGAGGAGCGGGGAAGGGACTGGCTGGAGCCCCGGCAGTCCTGAGCTCCACGAGAGCAGGGTCTGCCCGCTCAGGGAGGTCTGTCCTTTTGAGGCCAGGCACCCAGTCCTGGTCATCCGGGTCCACCCAGGATGACCCTGCCCTGTTCCTGCTTCTCCCAAGCACCCGTGACCTGGGAAGCCTGTCACAAACACCTCCCTGGACAATCCACGCTACAGAGTGCCCTGCTCCATTCCCACCACAGCCTCAGGCAGCACTGGCACCCACAGCAGAGGCCACCCTCACAATCTCACACTTCAGGAGCCCAGATGGGATGCTAGCCAGGTTCCCTAGAGGTGGCTTTGCCGGCCCAGGCAGCCCCATCTCTCCGGGACCCCACTGCTCCCCGGGTCCAGCCCGGACCCTGCAGTCGGCAGTGGCTCCATAAAGAAGTAAAATGAGAATATGCACGGGGCCCACACTTAGGGGACTCGTGTCACATGGTGTCCAGCATGGCTCGTGGGTGAGGACAGCAAAACCACCAAGAAATGACCCGAGAGGCCAACAGCAGCTCCCCGGGAAGGCCTGGCAAGAAATCCCCACAACCACCTCACATCCATTATCAACAAAAACAGTGACAAGTGTCGGCGAGGATGTGGGGAAACCGGAAGCCTTGTGTAGCGCTGCTGGGTTGGAAGATGGCGCAGCTGCAGGGAGAGCAGGAAGGCAGTTAGTTCCTCAAGTCAGAACGAGCACATGACGCGGCAATTCCACTTCCAGGCGTGGGCCCAGCAGAACCGAAAGTGAGTCTCAGAGAGACACCTGGCGCCCATGTTCACGCCAGCATTATTCATACCAGCTAAAACATGGAAGCAGCCCGAGCGTCCATCGCCAGAGGAATGAACACACAAAATGTGGCCCACGCACACGATGGAATATTTTTCAGCCATAAGAAGGAAACTCTGACACACGCTGCAACACAGATGGGCCCCGAGAACATGACGCTAAGTGAAATTGAGAGATTTTGTTAGTGGCTTGAAACCATCATTGTATTTGCTCACAATCCCGTGAGTCAGCCGTTTGGTTTGGGCCGGTCTCCTGGCCTGGTCTACCCAGGCTGCCCCCACCCCTGAAGCCACTTGGTGGTTAGTGCCGGCCAATGACCCCATGGTGCACACCTGGTCGACTTCCCAGGTTCCAGTTCCTCCCCTCTAGGACAGCCGCTGGGCCTCAGGGTCGGGGTGACTGAGGCTGACGGAGATGGCAGTCTCTTCCACGGCTGTGCCCAGGGAGGCTGCCAGGCACCCATCTACGCAGCAGCACAGTCTAAAGCCAGCCAGCCCCTCCCTCGGCCCCCACCCACGCCTTTCTCACCACGGCTGGAGGCCCCAGGAAAGCAACACAGACACGGGGGTAGGGAGCACTTCCAGACCCAGCAGGAGCCTGGAAGGCTTCCGCAGCCACACCTCTTCCACAGCCACACCCCTTCCCCAGCCACATCCCATTCCTGCAGGGAAACGCTCGCAGCAGCTGGGGTGAGTCCTGGAACTGTCTCCCCTGCTGGGTGCCTGTCCAGGCACCAAGTCCTGCTTGTGTTTTAGAGCAGGCTAAAAGCGGTATCATGCCCAATCTACACCTAGGCATTTGGTATTGAAACTGCAGAAAGTTAAAGAAACAATCTTGAAAGAAGCCAGCAGCGGGTGGGGAGGAACACCTAAACTACAGACAAAGAATACATTCATTTCTTATAGAATTAGTTTTGACTTTACAGAAACTGTGCAAGTAAAAATACAGTGGACTGAAATATTTAAAGTGTTGAGAAAAAATCCACAAGCCTAGAATTCTGTATCCAGCGAAATTATCCTTCAAAAGTCAAGGAAAAATAGACTTAGACAAAAATTGAGAATTTGTTACTAGTAGACCTGCTTTGCAAAAGGTGTTAAAAGTTCTTTAGAGAGGAAAAAAAATGTACAAGTCAGAAACTTGGATTTACATAAAGAAAGGCACGAGTGATCGAGAAGGAATAAGAAAGGTAATAAAAGCTTTTATTTTTCTTACTCTTTTTTTTTTTGAGACAGGGTCTTGTTCTGGAGTGCAATGGTGTAATCACTGCAATCTTGATCACCTGGGCTCAGGCGATCTTCCCACCTCAGCCTCCCAAGTAGCTGGGACCACAGGTGCACACTACCATGCCCAGCTCGTTTTTTAATTTTTGGAGAGATGGGCTCTCACTATGTTGCTCAAGCTGGTCTTGAACTCCTGGCCTCAAACGATCCTCCCACCTCAGTCTCCCAAAGTGTTGGGATTATAGGTATGAGCCACAATGCCTGGCCATTAATCTTAATGGAACAGACAAAAGTTTGTTAAAGTTATAACAATGTACTTGATTATATATGCTTATGTATAAGTGAAACTAATAATAGCAGTGATACAGGGGACAGGAGTGAAGAATTGGGAACATACTGTTATTAAAAGATACTTTTGGTGGGGCACAGAGGTTCACGCCTATAATCCCAGCATTTTGGGAGGCCAAGGCAGGTGGATTGCTTGAGCCAGGAGTTTGAGGCCAGCCTGGGCAACGTGGCAAAACCCCGTCTCTATAAAAAATACAAAAATTAGCTAGGTGCTGTGGCATGCGCCTGTGGTCCCAGCAACTCAGGAGGCTGAGCCAAGAGTTCCAGGATGCAGTGAGCCGTGATCACACCACTGCACTCCAGCCTGGGCGACTGAGCAAGACCCTGTCTCAAAAAACAACAAAACAAAAAATACTTGGGCTACCGATTAGCAAGCAGTTCAGTGTTATTTGAAAGTGGGCTTGAAATAGTTGGAAATGTGTATCACAAAATCTAGGGTAACCACTGAAAATGTGAAAAAGTATAATTGATGTCTAAGAAAGAATAGAAAATAAAATCATAAAATGGTCAATTAAAACCACAAAAGGCAGAAAAAATAAAAAACAAAAACAAAAAATAGAAAATAGGAACAAACATGGTAGATATTAATCCAACTATATCAACAGTGACTTTGAATGTCAGTGGTATAAATGCACCAATTAAAAGACAGAGATTGTCAAAACGGATCAAAAAATAAGACCTAACTATATGTTATCTACACAAAACCCACTTTAAAAATAAAAACAATGGCTGGGCGCAGTGGCTCACGCCTGTAACCCCAGCACTTTGGATGGCAGAGGCGGGCGGATCACTTGAGGTCAGGAGTTCGTGACCAGCCTGGCCAACACGGCAAAACCCCATCTCTACTAAAAATACAAAAATTAGCCAGGCGTGGTGGCTTGTGCCTGTAGACCAGCTACTCAGGTGGCTGAGGCAGGAGAATCACTTGAACCCGGGAGGCGGAGGTTGCAGTGAGCCATGATCTCATCACTGTAGAGATGGGTGGCAGAGCAAGACTCTGTCTCTAAATAAATAAATAAATAAATAAATAAATAGACACATGTAGATTAAAAGTAAATGAACAGAGGAAGAAATACCATACTCACATTAATCACAAGAAAGCTGGAATAGCTATATTAATTTCAGAGCACACTTCAGAGCAAAGAAGCTTATCAGGAATAAAAGGAGTTATGCATAATAAGGGGTGTGGAATATCTTTCCATTTTACCTCTTTGACTTATTAAAGTTTTATAATTTTCCTCACAGATCTTGTAAATATCTTGTTAGATTTCTACCTAAGTTGTGTGTTTCAGAGTTGCTATGTCTTCCTGGAGAGTGTGGCCTTCCCAGGGAGCTGCTGTTGGCCTCTCGGGTCATTTCTTGGTGGTTTTGCTGTCCTCACCCACGAGCCATGCTGGACACCATGTGACAGGAGTCCACTAAGTGTGGGCCCCGTGAATATTCTCGTTTTACTTCTTTATGGAGCTGCTGCTGAATCAGGGCCTGGGCTGGACCCAGGGAGCAGCGGGGTCCCGGAGAGATGGGGCTGCCTGGGCCGGCAAAGCCACCTCTAGGGACCCTGGCTAGCGTCCCACCTGGGCTCCTGAAGTGTGAGATTGTGAGGGCGGCCTCTGCTGTGGGTGACAGTGCTGCCTGAGGCTGTGGTGGCAATTGGCGTGGTGCACTCTGTAGCATGGGTTGTCCAGGGAGGTGTTTGTGACAGGCTTCCCAGGGTCACGGGTGCTTGGGAGAAGCAGGAACAGGGCAGGGTCATACCAGGTGGACCAGGACAACCAGGGCTGGGTGTCCGGCCTCACGAGGACAGACCTCCCACAGCAGGCAGACCCTGCTCTCCTGGCGCTCAGGGCTATGGGTACTCCAGCCAGGCCCTCCTGGGGATCTGATCTCAGGGCCCTGGGGGCATGGTTTGGACATCTGATAGGGGCAGATTACAACTCTGAAGACTTGGCAGGCTCCGGACTTACTATAAAGCTACAGTACTCACGACAGGGTGTTGGCAAAACAGACCAGTGAAAGCGGAGAGAGAGCCCAGAAACAAATCCGCATGGAGAGTCAACTGGTCTGTGACAAAGCGGCAAAAGCAATGCAATGGGGCACAGCCTCCACCAAATGGAGCCAAACAACGGGGCGTTCACATTCCCAAAATGAATCCCAACACACACATTCCACCCCTACAGCAATTCACTCAGAATGATCACAGACCTAAATGTGAAATGCAAAACTATCAAACTCCTAGAAGATAACACAGGAGAAAATCTAGATGACCGAGGGTTTGGTGATGAGTTTTAAAAACACAAGACTGAGCCCAGTGGCTCCCACCTGGCATCCCAGCACTTTGGAAGGTTGAGGCAGGAGGATCAGTTGAGCCCAGGAGTTTGGGACCAGCCTGGGCAACACAGTGAGACCCTGTTTCTTTCTTTCTTTCTTTTTTTAATAAGGCGGGGGCGGACCACAATCCAAGAAGAAACCAGTGAGAAACTCGATTTCATTAAGATTAAAAACTGCTCTGTGAAGGCACTGTCAAGAGAATAAGAAGAACAAGCCCCAAACCTGGAGAAAATAACTAGAAATGAGATATCCATGAAAGGATTACGAGCCAAAATTTACAAACAACTCTTACAACTCAACAAAAAGAAAAGGGACAACCAATTTAAAAATAGGCAAACATTCTGAGCAGATACCTCACCAAAGAAGATACGCAGATGGTAAATAAGCCATGAAAAGGGGCTCAGCATCATATGTCAGTAGGAAATAGCAAATTAAAACAATATACCACTACACACCTATCAGCTGGCCAAAATCCAAAACACGAACACCACCAAATGCTGGTGAGGACGTGAAGCCACAGGAACGCCCATTCATTGCTGGTGGGAACACAAAATGGTGCAGCCACTTGGGAAGACAGTTTGGCAGCTTCTTGCAAAACTCTCACCATATGATCCGGCAATCACACTCCCTGGTAAATCCCCTTTGGGATTTACCCAAAAGAGGTGAAAATGTATGTCCACACCAAAACTTCCACACCGGTGTTTATAGCAGCTTTATTCATAAATGCCCCAAACTGGGACAAGCCTAAGATGCTCTTGAGAGAGGGTAAATGGATAAACTGTGGTAGAGCCAAACAATGGAATATTATTCGGCACTAAAAAGAAATGAGCTGTCAAGCCATGAAAACACACAGAGGAAATATAAATGCTATTACCAGGCGAAAGGAGTCAATCAGAAAAGGCCACATAGTGCATGAGTCCAACCACATGACATTCTGGAAAAGGCAAAACTGTGGGGACAGTAAAAACCATCAGTGGTTACGGGGGTGGAGGGTGGGGGAGGAACGGGCAGAGCCAAGGGTTTTCAGGGCAATGAAACCATTTTGCATTCTCTGTAAATGGCGGACCCGTGTCCTACATTTGTCCCAATCTACGGAATGGCTAACACCAAGAGTGGGCTCTAACGGATGCCGTGGACTCGGGGTGATGGCGCATCCGTGTGGGTTGGCTGCCTTAATAAATGTGTGCTCTGGCGGGCGGGGGTGTGCGGGGGTGATGGTGAGGGAGGCCGTGCATGCGTGGGGGCAGGGAGTGTGTGGGACTCTCTGTACCTTCTGCTCCATTTTGCCATGAAGCTAAGACTGCACTAGAAAATAAAGTCTATTTAAAACAAAACAGAAAAGGTGATGTTGAGGGAGCCCTAGAGGAAGACGCTGGCCAGCAGTAGGTGGGAGGGGCCTGGGAGAGGGCGGGCACCAAGGTGGGCGTGTCAGGTCCGTGAGCCTTGGGCCTCGCAGCACGCACTGGCCTGCTCATGCCCAGAGCCCACCACCTCAGAGCCCGGGCCTGGCCGGGGAAGGTGGAGGGCACCCATGAGGCCCCCATCCTCTCTCCTGACACTCCCAGTGCAGTGGGGAGACAGATGACAAAGCTGTGATACATGTGTACTCACAGACCTCGAGATCTGTGCAGCGAGTGGCCCAGGGACCCCTCCTCAGCCAGGGCGTGCTGGGAAGTCCTCTCTGCAGAGTGATGCTGAGAGCCGAGAGACAAGGGGAGCCAGTAATACAAAGAGGGGGGCTGGTCGTCCCAGGAGGGAGGGATGGAAGGTGTCAGGACCAGATGTGGGGAGTAGGCATGAACCCGGTCTAGGCACAGGAGAGGAAGGGGGTGGCTTGGACATATTTGGAGGCAAAACCCATAGCTGGCGGCAGAGGGAGGGGCAGGGAGAAACAGGTGGCTGGGACCAGTTTCTCATGGGGATCTGGGCACATGATGGCCCCCAAGACAGAGACAGGAAGAAGTACGCGTGGGGGGCCCAGTCTGGATATGCTGAGTGGGCGGTACCCCACTCCAAGTGTAGTGCACAGAGAAGGGCTGGAGTTACAGGCCTCCTTGGGCAGGGGTCTGAGACAGCAAGGAGCTCAGGGGGAGAAAGGGAAGGAGCAGCCTTCAAGAGAGCCTGGAGGTCAGAGCGGAAGACGTCCATCCCCAGGTAATGAGGGACTGGGAGGGACAGTCAGACCAGGTCTGGGGAGAAGAACACCAGGAAGGAAGAACAGGTGGGAATGGAGAAGCAGCTGGGAGTGGTGGGGGGGTTGGGGGTTGAGTGTGGAGGAGCTGGGAGTGGTAGGGGTGCTGGGGGTTGAGTGTGGAGGAGCTGGGAGTGGTGGGGGAGCTGGGGGTTGAGTGTGGAGCAGCTGGGAGTGGTGGGGGTGCTGGGGGTTGAGTGTGGAGGAGCTGGGAGTGGTGGGGGTGCTGGGGGCTGAGTGTGGAGCAGCTGGGAATGGTGGGGGAGCTGGGGGCTGAGTGTGGAGCAGGGGACTGAGTGTGGAGCAGCTGGGAGTGCTGGGGGAGCTGGGAGTGGTGGAGAAATGGAGAATGAAGAAAGGATTATCAGGGAATGGGGCATGTCCACAGGTGAAGCTCTGGTGACCTGGACAGGAGGTGAGGAGGTACCCTGGAAGGAAACAAGAGGGACAGGGCAAAGGGGTGGGGCATGTGGAGACCAGAGAGGGCTTCAGGAGAGGATAGCCCAGACTCTGATGGCACCAACAGGAAGCAGCTTGGTGAGGGGCCGCCTGCCCGTGGTCAGCCCCAAAGACAGTTCTGCCACGCCCCCTGGTGGCAGCACCTAAAGCCACAACCACGTTCCAGGGTGCACAGCCTGTGGGATGCAGAGGCCTCTGGGATGGCAGGACGGGCTGGTCCCGGGAACCATGCATGTCACCAGCGCCCCTCCCTCCCCACGCCCTGACCTTGAACCCCTGGTTAGCTCCTGTTCCCACTGGACCCCTTGTCCCCTTCCTTGATCACTTTATGCATGCCTGGCACTGCCATCCTCCTTCCCAGCATGTCCACACCCCCACCACTGCCAGGGGGACTCCATGGCTCACCGGGCCACATACTGGCTGCCCCCACCTGAACTCCAGGACGAGGGCATGCTCGTGACAATGCCCTTGGTACCTGAAGGTGCCTGGCACGCAGCAGCCACGGAGTCACTGTCCAGTGAACCCAGGACCAAACTCTCCTGCAGTGAACCCAGGACCAAGCTCTCCGGTTCTGTCACGGCCCCTCTCTGGGCTTCCCAACGTCCCAAGATCTATTTCTAGGGCTGGGGTTCTGGTGCTGCGCTGCCCGGAGCTGAGTCCCAGCCAAGCCCTACAAGCTGCAGGGCCCTGGGGGGAGCAAAGCCTCATCTGCAAGTGGGGACACTGAGGACCCACAGGGCCACCTGGGCTAAGGGCAGATGCAGGTGAGGACAGGCCTGGCCCAGCAGAAGCACCTGCGTGTGGGGCGCCACACTGGATCACCTCAGAGAGAGCGCGCAAACAAGCACGCAGCCAGTGCCTGCAGGAGGCTGAGAGGCTCTGGGGACAGTGCCACCGTTCCAGGCCCGAGCGATGGTTTTGCGTATTTGCTTTGTGGAAACCCCAAAGTGAATGCTTGTGACTTGTGCACTTTTCCATACACTCACACACACGTGAATAAACATGCGTGGTATACGGGTACCCCCCCTCCAGCCATGCAAAATGTGTCCCTACCAGCCTATGAGAAAGGGGAGGAGCCCCACCTTACCCTGGACATGGGAGGCTCCTCCGCTGCTGGGGACAGGGTAATCCTGGCCCCAAGGCGAGTGCTGTGGGCGTTTGCAGCGGGCGTGGGCGCCCGTGAGGACTTCCTGAGGCCCGGCCTCCGTGGGAGGAAGGCCACTGGAGAACCCAGCTCCCACGGAGGAAGAACCAGAAGTGTCCGGCTGAGACCCGATGCAGGGTGCACCGGGGCCTTCCTGCCTTACCCATGGGCCCCCCACGCCCTCTCAAGGCGGTAGAATGAATCCGCTGATTCCATGCAGTGGGTGGGGAGGGCCGAGGGGGTGTGGTGGGTACCAGTGCAATTGAGGGTTCGAGTCTTGTGGGACCAGGGCCTGCACCCCCATTCCGGGCCCAGCACCTGACACACAGGGAGGTGCAAACCAGACCACACGGAACAGCCACGCCAGCAGCCAGAGTGGGCGTTTCCCACACCGCCACCCAACACTGGGCAGCTCCTGCCACCCACCCAGCGTGGGGCCTCTCAGGCTGGCCTGGCCCTGGCTGCTCAGGCAGAGACAGACCCAAACAGCAACAGATATGTGACACTGAGTGAAGCGTGCAGACACCTGACTCCCACCCCAAATGTTTTCTTCCCCAAACAACCCTGAACACACAGATGAATGCAGCACAAAGTCTAACGCCAACACACTTTATTTCCCTTCGGACGCATCTGCAAGCTTCTGCCACACCTGAACCCACGGCCTGGCACCAACGCTACCATCACTCCCCAGAGGTCAATCCTGGGGGCTGAGGGGCTGCAATTTCCCTTTCTTCCTGAAAATTAAGAGAACTGAGACTAATTGAAGAAACCTCACTGCCATTCCTCACTCAGCAGTCTCAGCAGGTCTGAAATGTGGCTGTGGGAAGTTGCCATTTTGGGAAGGCGTTTATTCTCTGCGGCTACAGGGATTGCCTGCTTTAGAAATCCCCTTACGCTGATTAACTCAAAAGTCCCTTCAGAGTCAAGAACCAACCTTTCATGGTCCATAAATGTGGTATTTCTGGTTTCCTGATCAGGAGGCTTGCAAACCTAAAAATGTTCTTCCTTCCAAAAACTAACTAACCTGAAGTATAAAACCTCAGACGGCAGAATTTTCTATTTCTGGAAAAGCTGGCTGCGATTTGTTTTTGGGACACAGTGAGGCAAGTCCCTGTGGCAGAGAACGAATTGGCCCCTCGGCCTCTGTATGTGAGAGCAGCCCAGCCACACCCAGGAAGAAACATCCCCCATGCACTGCAGCACATCCTCCTTAGAGAGAGAACGCCTGCAGGTTTCGGCAAAGAAAAAAAAAAAAGGGCCTGCCAGACTCCCAGCTGGATGGAAAGCAGCCGACAGCTCCTCAGCCAGAGGGTGAGGCCAAGTCCTGGCGCCTAGCTGGGCCCCGTCCATGCGCGTCACTTTCCAGTGAGTTCCAGCACCTTCCTCACCATGGCTCCGATCCCATCATGGATGTAGTGGAGTGCCGTCTCGCACATGAAGGCTGGGGTCGTGACCACCTTGTTTTTCTGGTCCACGTGAGCTTCGTGTGCAGAGTTACGGAAAAAGCCACCCAGCACGGACCTGAGGGACTTTCAGGTGTGGAGCCCCGGCCCCTCCCCCACCCTCACCGCGTGTCCTAACTTTGTTCTCAGATAACTTGGAAGAGGAGAACTCGCTCCTGGTGCAGTCTGTGCCGGCAGGACCCTGCTTTCTGTATGATTTATGCTGCTGAACAACATAAGAAGGAACCTGTTCCCAATTCACATGCATTCTAGAGGAAGAAAGCAGCGGGAAATTCCAGGGAACGGGGCACCTTTCATGCCAGCATCACACAGGCCCAACACCCACACATGGCCACGAGCTGCCCCGCCATGGGGGCGCACACATGCCTGGGGTGCTCACAACCACCACGGGAGGCAGTGGCAGCACCTCCGCTTTTCAGATGAAGAACTGGCCGTGAAGGAGCCGGTCCTCATGGGGCAGGGCAACAGGCAACAGGGCAGCAGGTGGCACAACTGGGGCCGGCCAGCCACAGACCTGAGCCTCCCCAACACCATGCATGTAACCACTGGCCAGGCCTCCACACCACCCAAGACACGTGCCCCTATCTTCCTGCAAGCAGTCAGAGGCCTGGGGCCAGCCTTGCACTGCGCTCCTGCCCAGCAGGAAAGCCGCAGGGAGGGAGATGGGGCCTGACGTCTGAAGCTGCCTGTGAGAAAAAAGCTGCCCCATTGAGAGGAACTGCACCCTTCAGAACAACACCTGCAGGGGACCGGGTCCATGCTCTACTCATTCCAGTGCCTTCCGGCACCCCGGAGTGTTCTGTTCTCTCAGTTGGGCTCACATGGACATTCTCCCAGATCCAGGCAGGGCCTTCCAGGAGCCTCCCTCCAAATCTCCCTGGGCAACAGCCCCGCTGGTGTTCTTGGTCCATCATCTCAGAACTCAGGGTACACACCTCAACAGGAGGGGCTGGGGGCCGCAAGGCTGGCTGAATCACCTGGCCACCCAAACTGGCCTGAGAACTTCCGCCCAAATGAAGCCAGGAAGCCCCTTCTCCTGCACACCCGGCCGCTTTCCCCCAGCATCTCAGGAAGCCCCCGCCTCCTGCACGCCCGGCTGCTCTCCCTCCACACCTCGCACACACTCTTTCCTCACCCTCCCCCCGCTGGGCCCGGAGTGTGGCTGCCTGGGTGTTGCTGAGCAGACTAAACAGTCAGGCAAGGGACCTGGATCTGCCAGATCTGCCAACCACGCACCAGAGCTGCGCTTCTGACGTGTCTGTGACCCACCTCACACCAGCTGGGCTGTCACAGCCATCTGCTCTCTGCCCTTAGACACATGGCTGCGGTGCCCACTGGGGGAGGCCCCACAGGGAGAGCAGCAGGTGCAGCTCCCGGTGAAGAGGCCACCCACCAAGACAGCCCGGAGGGAGGGGCGTCCCTATGCACGTCTCAGGGACAAGCACGACAGCGGGCCGGGCCTGGCTACCAGGAAGGATATGACCACTTCCTTCACGCAGTGCTTGGCACCCAGGGCCTTGATGGCCTCTGCGGTCCCGGCATAAGGCCACTTGCCACCTTCCTCCTGCTCGTGGCCCACAGTCACCTCGACGCCTCTGAGCACCTTGGCCGCGAGGACAGGTGCAATGCAGCACAAGCTGAAAGGCGAAAAGAACACGGGTCAGGCAGGCTGCATGGCCTGCAGAACAGAAATTACCCTCGCCATGACCCCAGGCTGCCCTGCCACGGGAGCCCTGCCGACCCTGCCCCCTGTGAGCCTGCGCTGCCAGAAGGCTGTGGCCCATGGGATGTGATGGAGGTGGCACCAGGTGACTCAAGGCTGAGAGTGAGGTGTCCTCAGCCCCACTCCCCGCCAAGCACGCCCTGCAGGCACTCAAGCACCAGGCCAAGGACCCCTGAGGGGAACCCCCAACAGCCATGGGCTAAGCCCCAAGCCCCAGGACACCCCAGACTGGCGAGAGTCCCGGGCTGCCAAAGTCCACTCACAGAGAGGGTAATGATGTGCGGCTGCCCCAGCCCTGAGTTGTGGGGTGGTCTGTGACCCAGCAATAGATAACACAGCTGCACTTCTCATTCACACCAGCCCCCCTTCTACAGGAGGCACAACGGGCCAGGAGCAGCCTCGCCAGCCTCCGACCTGCAGCACAACTCTCAACAAGTGCAGGCTGGTGGACGCACGCCCCTGACCCTGACGCACAGGCCGCAGCAGCCCTGAAACTGAGGGTCCTGCCACACCCACCCCTGGGACCTGCTTCTGCTTCATCAGGAACCCCTCCCTGCCAAGTCAACAGAGGCCCCTGTGTGCCAGGCACTGTGCCCACAGCAGGGCCTTCAGTGACCTGTGTCGTCCAGCGCCTCATGGCCACCCAGGGGCAACAGTGGAAGGAGTACGGCCTCATTAACAGCAGCCCCATCCCCTGGCAACCTGTGGTGTAGCCCACAGCTGTCAGGCCCCACCCTGCCCTCAACACCCCGCACCCTTCATCCCTCCTCCCGCTGTCTACAGTCCTACCCACTCCCGACAGGCCCAGGTGGAAACTGCTACCGTGAGCTGTAACGAAACACTGTTAAAAACACATTTCACAGCCAGGTGCAGTGGCTCATGCCTGTAATCCCAGCACTTTGGGCAGCTGAGGCAGGCAGAACACCTGAGGTCGGGAGTTCGAGACCAGCCTGACTAACATGGCGAAAACTTGTCTCTATTAAAATTACAAAAGTTCGGCCTGGTGGCAGACACCTGTAATCCCAGCTACTTGGGAGGCTGAGGCAGGAGAATTGCTTGACCCCGGGAGGCGGAGGTTGCAGTGAGCCAAGATCACTCCAGCCTGGGCAACAGAGCGATACTCTCAAAACAAACCCGCCCCCAAAACTGCATGTCCTGAAGCAACTTCTGGCTGCCTATGAGATGAAACCCCCCTGCCGCCCTCTGCGCAGGCAGAAAGTCCAGGAAGCAGGTTCTCAGCAGCTCCCGACGCTGCGTGCAGCCGCCCAGCCATCAACTGCCAGCTACAGATGCCACAGTGGCTCCTGGCACAGCCCAGCGCCCACCTCGACTACTGCATTCAAGGAAGGGGTCCCAGCAGTGAGCGGCTGGGCCGCCTAACAGCCCCTGGCTGGCCACGCAGGCCTCTGACACCAGGCTGAGGGGTGGGTGGGGCCAGTGGGAAAGGATTTAGGTTTCCTCAGGAAAAAAGCCTGTGGGTCACCGTGCACGGAAGCCCCATGGCTGGACCGGGGAGCAGACGGGCTTGTGCCCTGCAGTTTTCAGGGGAGCCTCATGGCTGGACCGGGGAGGAGACAGGCTTGCGCCCTGTGCTGTTTCCAGGGGAGCCTCATGGCTGGATTGGGGAGGAGATGGGCTTGCGCCCCACACTGTTTTCAGGGGAGGCATGCTCAGAGGCAGTGGTTCACCTGCCAGGGGCTGTCTTGTTTCATCGAGATTTTTAATCAGTCACAGAAGAAAGGGCCATGGGCTCCTCCCTCTGGGCGCTCATCCAAGGAACACTTCTCTGACAAGGACGGGATCCCGAGGTGGAGACCATGGGCGAAACCTTCACCCCGGCTGTGACACGGCTGCAGCAGGGACCTCCTTCAGGAGCTCTGAGCCTGCACCTCTTCCTGAGGCTCCACTTTAGGGGCCTCCCTGGACAGTGACCAGGCAGGTCCTTAAGTGAGTGACTGTGGATGGGGAGACAGAGGATTCCGATAGATCCTCATCCTTGTTCGGCTGACAGAACTCGGTAGTGAGCGGCCATCGCGAGTGCGCCTCACTGATGTTCACCCACGCAAGTGCGGCTCTCGCCCTGCCAGCACCAGACGCAGCTGAGACCTGGACAGCACAGCGCCGCGTTCCAGGACCACCAAGGAGCAGGTGCCGGGAGGCTCGTGGAAGCATCACACCTGCCGAGGCGGAACCCGGCCTTGCTGGGTCACCCTCACACATCTGAGAGTGACTTCCCGGCAGCAGACGCTGAAGAGCACACACTCCCTGCGGGGCTGCGACCCGCCACGTAAGCCAAGGCGCTTACGTGGATGAAGGAGTGGGCGCCCTACTCGTGCCGCCAACCTCAGGACCCAGGCTTTGTCTGAGCAGGGACAAAGGGGCGTGGTTGGCTGTGGCTCCCCAGGAGGGAGGCCGCTGGGAGTGGATGGCGTCAGGGATGGAGCACGTGCTGCAGTGACTGGCCAGAAGTCAGCGGGGTTGGGGGTACTGTGGCTAAGGGGCTTGGGAGAAGGGGTCTGGTAAAGGATAGGGGTCCTGAGGGACTGCCTAGGGACACCTCTGGGAGCCAAGAGAATTCCAGGCCTCCTCTAGGGAAGTGCACTGTGCCTCTCCTTCCTGTTAAGTCACCAGTGACATCGTGTGAAATCCCCTCAGTTAAAACAAGAAAAGCAGCTGTGAGTTTTCAGGATCAGCGGCAGCTCCTGGCTGAGAACAGAGGCCGCGGGCCCACGCACCCTCCTCCCTCCCTCCCCGAGGCCTGCACGGCTGTACACACCCGATGGGCTTCCCGGCCTGGTGGAACTCCTTCAGGACACGCTCCACTTCTTTATTCACCTTGCAATCTTTCCCGTCCACGGCAAACGTGCTCCTACCGGGAGACAAAAGGCCTCCTCAGACAGCCTCACAACCAGGGTCTATTCCTGGGGGGCTTCCTAGGCACAGCTCCAGACCCTCAGTCAGCTGCAGCAAGGGACATGGGCATGGCTGCACATATGCGCGTTTGATGTGAACATATTTTCCTGTTTTTTAAACAGAAATAAGCATAGGAAGCAGGAGGATCAGGAAGTGGTGCAGCAGGAGGCCACCAGGGCGAGAGGGCCCACGCCCTGGAACCTTCCGGAGCAGCTGGCAGAACCCGGGCTGCGGTGCTGAGACTCAGACGCTGGTTTCCGGCTCCTAACTCCCGTGCTGCTTGTTAGCTTTCTGTTACGACGTTGGCTGTGTCGGGCCTCGGGCAGCCTCTGACCTTCCCGCCTGCCCTTTACCTGCCCCAAAGCAGGACTCTAATGTTCCCCGCCTTTCTGACTGTGGGTCTCAGGACCCTCTCCTGAGAGGGTCCCCCACTCCCCGGGGGAGAATGCTGACGTCATGTTTCCCTGAGCACTGTGAGCCACGCCAGCAAACGGGGTTGTGGGAACCCCAACTTGAAGCCAATTGGTCAGTTCCAGAGGCTCAGACAGTTTACCGGTATGTGTCAGAGGGCAGTTTTGGGGACGGAGCCCTCAACCCGTGCGATCGGACGCTACCCCGGGTCCATACTGTTGGAACTGAATTAGAAGGCAGCAGCGACCCCTGCGTGGTGCATGGGGAAGACCCTTCACACCCACCTTCTGTGTGGACAACTGTTGTGGTGGGAGGAGGAGAAACACGGTGTGAGAGTTTTTCCTTAAAACAAAGGGGCAGCAGGAAACTCCAGGAGTTCCCAAAAAAAGAAACGCAGTCGGCCTCCAGGCATACCAAGCACTCTTGCTTCGATGACCGTGAAAGAAACGCCAGTTTACCTGCGACACCAGCATCCACACCTCAGGCCGAGGAGCAGGAGCTGTGGAGGGCACGCGGGGCAGGGGAGGTCTCTCCACACTGCCCATGGGGCGTGTGATCTGGCAATGCCACCAAATCTACAAGTGGACACACCTTCCCACGAACCCACCCCTGGGCTCTACGCCACCCTCACGCACCCCAGTCCTCTGCCCCAGCATTTTCCACATGGCTTTGCTGGCAGAGTGCTGGGAATCTTCTGGAGGCAGTGGGTGTTCGCCGTCCCCATGGGTGACTGTCTCAGAGGGTGCAGAGTGGCCACGGCTGCAGCTCATTAGAGCGCGCCGCACCATGGACACGCAGGGCAGGCTCACCCAGAACGCTCTGGACAGGTCAGTGAAAATGGGAGCTTCGCCCAGGGGACGTGGGCTCAGACACACGGGCACATCAGTCCCAGGGCCCATCAACACCTTGAAAGCCAAGGCCAAGACCCACTGACCCTGAGAACCACCACACACCTCACGCCTGTGCCTCTGGGTTGGCAAAATGTGGAGGAGCCATGCCAGGGCACGGAGCCCCCAGCACACCCTCCAGCTGCCCCTGCGCCCCGCCACACACGGTGTCAGTGGTCAGAGCCTCGTGGAGACGGCAGCGACGCAGGGACAACTGGACAAAAGATCGAGCCTGACGTGGGGCTGCGTGAGGTCAGGGGTGTGGGCGGCACCGACGAGGCTTGCTGGCTTTCAGGAGACCGGGGACGACAGGCTGGGGTGGGGCTTCCGGTGAGAGAGGGGTGAGGGCACGGCCAAGGGCACTGAGAAAACAGCTGGCATCTGAGGAAGGAGGCCTCTGAGGTTTCGGGATAAGGAGGGGCGCATTCTTCGGATGGAGACTGCCTACCCCTCGACTC
Organism: Homo sapiens; assembly: GCF_000001405.40. Taxonomy (NCBI): domain Eukaryota; kingdom Metazoa; phylum Chordata; class Mammalia; order Primates; family Hominidae; genus Homo; species Homo sapiens. The sequence continues at coordinate 44,138,449 of NC_000021.9, read as the reverse complement.
TGGGTGCAGGCTGCCCAGGGTGGGGCAAGCGGCCAGCCAGCCTCCAACCTGCCCTTGAAACAGGAGCTGCCGACCGGGGCCGGCCGTGCTGGGGCTGCCACCCACACCATGGCACAGAAGCCACCTGCACGCTCCGATGCACTGTGGCCAGTGCTCCTGCAGGTGGCAGAGCTGTCCCTGGAGGGTCAGCCTGGCACCACCTCCACCTCTCAGGCAGGGCCATGGGGGCGGTGCCCAGAGAACCTCCATGAATGTGCAAAGAGAGAGAGGAGACACAGAGAACAGAAAGAGGATCTGGAACTCAAGGACGCCACCGTGTGGGAGCCAGCCAGGCCTCCATGATTCACGGTCCAGCTACCAAAACAGCCACGCCAAGGCGGCCTCCCTTCTTCCTGTCAGGACCGCCGCCCAAACTACCAAGAAGGAAACCCATTTCTGATCCTGCAAGGTTCCATAAGAGAATTGGGGCCAGGCGCGGTGGCTCAGGCCTGGAATCCCAGCACTTTGGGAGGCAGGAGGGTTACTCGAGCCCAGAAGTTCCAGACCAATTTGGGCTACATACATGGCCAAAAAAAAAAAAAAACAAAACCATGGGCATGGTGACATGCGCCTATAGTCTCGGCTACTCAGGAGGATGAGGCTGGAGGATGGCTTGAGCCCAGGAGATCATGGCTGCAGTGAACTAGGATCGTGCCACTGCATCCCTGCCTGGGCAACAGACCAAGACCTCATCTCTACAGAAAAAAAAAAAAAAAAAGAGAGAGAGAGAGAAAAAAAACTGGCACTTGCAAGGAGTAAATACTCAGAGACTGATTTCAACGTGACGAGACCTACAGCACAGTGATGAGATAAGAGGGAGCCCCAAACCCACTCTGACAAGCTGCTGGGTACCAGGAATGCTGAGAGAAGAGGCAGCAGAGAAGCAGAAACAAAAGCATGGCTCGCTACAACGCTACCTAAGACCCAACCCTAAGAACAGCTCCCAAGTCAGAGGGCAGGCACGTGCCCTGCCCAGACCCTAAACCCAGAGACTGCTCCTATCACCACCCCCTCCCATCGCCGCTCCACTGACCACATTGGACAGCAGACAGGTGCACCCCCTTCCCATCTGCTCCACATGGAAAGCGGAAGACCTTGGAGCTCAAATACGCACAGGTTTTTAGCCGCTCCAAAGCCTCCTGGAAAGATGGCAGCATCATGGTTGGCTGCACTGAGGTTGGCCAGGTCTGTGATTTTGCCACGGGCGATCCTCGCAGACTCGGTCAAAACATTCCTGGGAAAGAGCACAGGGCAAAAAGCCTCAGCATGCAGGTGAAGGACTGTGGAGCGCGGCAGGGGCACAGCCCACAGGCAACACGCTCCACACACGTGGCTCTCAGCCACACGGGGACTTACTTCCAGGTCAGCATGTTTGGTCACTACCTGGAAAGACAACATGGTTCTAGCAACGCTAAATCTATGCTGGGCTCTTCCGATCAGCACTTCAGAACCTGCGCCAAATCACTCTGAATCTTCTGCAGTCAAGGCCCATGGGAAATGGAAGTCTCTCCGAGTGTCTAAAGCAGACAGAATTCTGTGCACTCATCAGGACGGTGGGACTCAGAGGGGAAGGTAAGAAGCCAGGACTCAGGACCAGTGAAGCAACCCGAAGGCCAGCCACCGCAGGAAGCTGCTAGCCCCCAGGTGTGGGGGCCGAAGGTGCAAGTCCAGGTGCAGAAGCCAGGGTCCCAGGCAGGAAAAGAAATCACAGGGGTCCCCACTGGTGAGAAGCACAGCCCCAGGAGGCAGCTATGGCTTCTTCCTCGAATCTCCAGCTCCGACCTCTCGTGGTCCGAGGCCAGTTGGAAGGCACCTTGGAATGGCCTGCACAGGGCTGTCAGGCAGGACAGGCAAGGGAAGGGGATCTCAGGCCACACAGGCCAGAACCACACACACCGCAGTAACAGACATGCTGCTGGGAACCAGCAAAACAGATCTGGAGCCCAGACAGGGGAAGAAGGTGGGCGACCAAGCTGAGAACCACCACCTTTGCTTAAGACCAAGGTATGAGCAGCCTGACTCAGTGGGAAGCGATCCGGTCGCCATTTTCAGTCCTTCTGTGAGTACTGGAAGGAAGGCACTCCTGAGCCTTGGCAGCATTACTTCTGGAACAGCCCGAGCACAGCTGCTCAGAAGGACGTTCATTTGCACACAAGACTTGGTTTAAGCTAAGCCAGCAAAAAAAGGCTGCACCGTGGGAGGTAGACAAGAAGCAAGTTCCAATCCCACCCCCACACCTGCTCTCGCCTTCGGACGGCTGCCCCTTGGTGTGGTCAATCACGTGCATCTGAGGGACGTCAGGAGCAAAGATCTGGACTTCAGCCCCTCCACGGCTCAGGTGCACCAGGATCCTGCACGGGGGAAAACCAGAGACAACTCTTCAAAACGTGCCCCACTCAGATTTGTGTTAACACATTTTTAAAAACAGGATTTTAGCTAAGTACCAGGAGCAAATTCCTAATGTATATTAATATCTTACTTGCTCTGCAAAAAGTTACAGTTGGTTCCATACCAAGCCAAACGTCCCCCACACCCCCATTCCAATTCACTGTCGGTTGGTGGGTTACGACTATGACAAACCCTCAGAAGTGGGCTATGGAGATCAGCTGGTCCCAACAGCTCCCTTTGCAAACTGGGGTATGGGGGCCGGGTGACTCCACTGAGGGCACAGCCTGGAGGCGTGCGGGTCCCCGGCTGCTGAGTGCTCTACCTACACCCAGGGCCTGGCTGCCCTCCTCCAGTTGCTTGCTGCAAGCACCAAGAGTGAGAAGCAGCAGTGTGCTCAGAGTGCCACGTGCACAGACGGTGTGACGGGGCTTTCGGTCACTACTTAGTTCAATTTCTAGTCTCCCTCAACTTTCCCATCACAGATGGTGGGAGAGACACAAGAGACCCCAGGACAACACCACAGGCCAGGCAGCTCCATCTCCCCAAGGGCAAGGGCAACAGAAGCTCCTCCTGGGGACAACAGCTGACATTATGGGGGCTCACGCTGGCATCCGCAACTCCCAGTGCCAACAGGAGATAGGTGGCTAAGCCCACCCACACACTAAGCCCTCACTGCCCCTTACGTGGAGGAGGAAACCGAGGCATGAAGTGCAGTGACTTGCCAGAGGGAGAGGTCAGCACCTGGCCCTGGCACTTGGGTTCCGCTACCCATAAGAAATCCACCCAGACACCCCAGACACAAGACCCTGCCGTTCTGCCTGGGAGGGCTCAAGCTATTCTGGGGCTATTTTCTATCCCACCAAGGCCAAATCATGAAACACATCCTGGCCCTTTCCCCCAGCTCACTCTGCCTAGTGCCAACTCCAACCAGCCAAGGTGGGCCACCCACAAAGCCACCAGCCTCAGGCCACTCTCCATGGCCTGACACCCCTTTCGCCACCACCCAGCTCTCCCCTCTCCAGTTCACCCTGAACCACATGGGAACTACAGGTACCTGGCACGCGTGGTGGCCTCCTGCCCTACTGGTTCGGCCTGCAGTCATTTCCAGTAGCACAGGAAATCAGGCCACCAAGCACTCAGCAACAGCTGACCAGTTACGTAAACAGTAACCTGTCTAGGACCCAGAAATACCACGCAACTGTTAAAATGATGTTGAGAACTGAATGAATGGGAATTACTTCCCATGCGTCAGAAACATTTGCAAAACACGGGTGAGTGTGATCTCAGTGTTTTCAAAATGTGTGTGTCCTGAAAAACACTCAAGTGAAATGCTAAGTCATTTCTAGGCTCTAGGTGACAGCATAAGCGACACTTAAAAACTGTTCTTTCTTAGCGTCTCCCTGGGTTTTGCAAGTCGTTTTTGCTTTTTTTTAGCCAAGAATAGGGTATTTAAAATACAAGCTCTCTCGGCCGGGTGCAGTGGCTCATGCCTGTAATCCCAGCACTTTGGGAGGCCAAAGCGGGAGGATCACTTGAGGTCAGGAGTTTGAGACCAGCCTGGCCAACATGGTGAAACTCCGTATCTACCAAAAATACACAAATTAGTTGGGTGTGGTGGTGCATGCTTGTAGTCCCAGCTACTCGGAAGGCTGAGGCAGGAGAATCGCTTGAACCCAGGAGGCGGAGGCCGCAGTGAGCCAAGATCGCGCCATTGCACTCCAGACTGGGCGCTGTCTCAAAAGACAAAAAGTAAAAATAAAATAAAATACATGCTTTCTCTAAGCTGTTCAAAAAAGAGTAAACTTCACTGGTGGAGAGGCCTTCTCGAGGCCCCCGGGGTGGAGGACCAGCTGCCCCTGAGGACTTACGCCGAGGCCTCGTGGATCTCGGTCCCATCGTAGACTCCGCATCCAGACAGCACCTGCGAGAGGAGCGGGAGCTGACCCGGGGGAAAGGGGCCGACCTGGGCGGCGGGAGTTGACTGGGGGGAAAGGGGCCGACCTGGGCCGCGGGCGCTGACCCGGGAAAATGGGGCCGACCTGGGCCGCAGGAGCTGACTTGGGGTGAAGGAGCCGACGTGGGGCGGCGGGAGCGGACCTAGGAAGAGGGGCCGACCTTGGGCAGAGAACAGCGAAGGCTGATCTCTGGAGGCGGGAGCTGACCTCACCCCCTCCGTCCACTCACCAGCGCGACCCTGGCCGCGGGGCGCGGCACGGAGAGGTGAAGGGCTGCGCGCTGGGAAGGCGTCCGACCGCCGGGGGACAGGGACGTGAATGCAGATGCCGCAGCGAGCCTCGAGGCCACCAGGACCCTCACAGCCGCCATTGCGGTGAGGACAGCGGGGTCGGAAGGTCACGCAGGGACAGAGCGTGCGCACCCACCCCTCTACAAACGCGTTGCTCGTCGGGACTGCGCCTGCGCAGCCTTCTGGGCGGAGCCAAGACCCGCCCCCGTCTCAGCCCTATCCAGTGAGTTCGCCGGTGGGCGGGGGCCGCGCCTGCGCAGAGCCTCCGAATAGAGTTCCGGGAACCCTGTCTTCCTTCCGGTGGTGGCTGAGGGCTCGTGCTCGAGGCTGAGGGATGCTGGTGACTCCCGGGGTCCCCAGCCCCGCCCCCATCGGACGCCTCCACAGGCGGCGCACCCTTTCCGCCATCCGCAGAGCAAGGCTGCCTCGGGGCGGCTCAGTCCGGCGCTTCTTACCTTACCTCCGTCTCATCCTTAACTCACCACGAGCGTCCAGGGTCCACATCCTCCTAAATGGCCACTCGTCTTAATCTCGGCGTCAGGACCCACGCGGGGTCAGGACTACCCCTCCGCTTCCATGACTGTCTCCTCGCGGCTCCGGCTCCCACGGAGCGACCCCTCCGGGTTTTACTGACCCCGGGATGTTGTATCCTGGAAACTGCAGTTCCACCCAGGGGCTTGATCTGGGTTAGTCTGGGGGCAAGTGAGCCGCCGATTCTGTTTGGGTTTTTTTTTTTTTTTTTTTGAGACGGAGTTTCCCTCTTGTTGCCCGGGCTGGAGTGCAATGGCGCGAAGTCGGCTCAACGCAACCTCCGCCTCCCAGGTTCAAGCGACTCTTCTGCCTCAGCCTCCCAAGTAGCTGGGACTACAGGCATGCGCCACCACGCCAGGCTAATTTTGTATTTTTAGTAGAGACGGGGTTTCTCCATGTTGGTCTGGCTGGTCTTGAACTCCCGAGCTCAGGTGATCTGCCCGCCTCGGACTCCCAAAGTGCTGGGATTACAGGCGTGAGCCACCATTCCCGGGCGCTGTTTGGGTTTGTTTTTTTGTTTTTGTTTTTTACGTTCACAGCATGGACGGTCAGTGTGAAGATCCCAGCTGCTCGGGTCCTAGCTGGAATTCTTCCATTAAAAAAATCTGTTTGTTATGCATGGGTTAGTTCACAGAGGAATAGCTGGATAAGTGCTGGCTTTTTCCCCGATTTACCCATTTTCAACCTAATAATGCAGGTTTTTGAAATAATGTGAATGGTTACTGCTGGCGGATGTTCACAGGGACACACCGGATTCTACAGACACATCTGATGATCTAGCCACGGCTGTCACTTTCCCCACTGCCGCGTTGTCCATCACTAGGACTTTACTGCCAATCCTTGCAAGATAGTGGGGAACTAGAATAACAGACATGGGACATTACCAGTTACAACCAAAGACAAGCTTGGCACATTTGACTGTCCTCGTTCCTGCTCCTCCGTGCCTGGCCCTCTTCAGGCTTCTCAGCTCCTGGGGAGCGGCCAGCCAGGGAGCATCAGCTGGTGGGAGCGATGGGGTTGTGGGATGGCACAAAAAAACACCAAGCGCCACTCAGAAAGGAAATGCCGAATGCAGACTCTCACTCAGTCGGTGTGGGGGCCAGGACCCTGTCTCTACCAAGTGTGCGGGAGCTGCCCCTGGCCGGGAGCTCCCAGACCCCACTGCAGAGCCGCAGCTCCAGTTGTCCCAGGGGCGACTACTCAGGTGTCCATCGCCATGCACATGTGACACAGAAAAGGGTGAGGCGAGGAGGGGGAACGCTGGAAATTGTTTCACGGAAAAGGGCGAGGCAAGGGAGGGGAACACTGGAACTTGTGCTTTGGGTAGGCGATAGCTAAGGATTCTCTCTCGTCTGGGTCACGGAGATTGTGCAGCCACAGAACACCTGGTGTCATCAGGGCCTGAGCTCCTCCCTTCTACAAAGACCTCTGGTCTGCAGGCCTGCAGGTACAGTGCTGTGGGCCACAAGGCACTGCCTGTCGTATTCATCTCCACTCTCTAGCACATCTGGCCTCACGCCACCCCCGGGAGGCCGGCAGGCAGATATCAGCTCCACTTCCCAGATAAGCAAGGGAGCCAGGTACTACCCAGGGTCTTGGGGGCCACACCGCTGGCGAGGGACAGGCTGGGCCTGGCAGACAGCACTGGCAGTCGGTGAAGTGCCCACCTCAGTGTCAGCCTCAGGTCCTGACCCTGGAGGCTGCTGTTACTGAGCTGTGGGGACCAGGATGCCCTACCATGATGGAGACCCAAGCCTCTCTCATGATGACTATTCCCAAGGGCACTGCAGAGGGGAGGAGCTGTCTCCTCCTCCGTGTGGCCCACGCAGAGCTGGTGCAGGTCTGAGTGAGCTCACCAAGACAGGCCAATCCCAGCCCCAGACTCCAAAGCATCCCCAAGAGGTCAGGGAGAGGCTCTGTGCCCCTGACCCCAAGGATATGCACAGGTCACAAGGCAGAGCCCCCGCTAGACAGCAGGAGCACCCTGCTCTGTCAGCCTGCTTCCCCAGGACGGAGGCCCTGGTGGTAAGGCAGGCAGGTCTTGAGCCCCCACAAGACAGCAGGATACAACATAACCCTTTTTAATCTGAAGTGTAGACTTCATCCTCACGTTAGAAAACTCCATCTTTTTTTTAATCCCTAAGTTCTTTATCAAACCTTTATGTTAAAGATATAAATAAGTCTCATACAAAGTTCATGTGAATACCTCTCTGAGACGCATTTTCAACATTCATCACCGTTCACACGGCCCCGCTCCTGGGGCCAGGTGCCAGTGCGTGCCGGCCCCTGGCGTGACCCGTCGGCTCGCTGTCCTGATGGGCTACATGTGTGCACAGGAAAAGCAAGTCACTACCACTAGTGACAGTATTTCAGCTGTTCTCTGGACCCCTCCTCTTTGCTGGCCCAGGTGGCACAAGGGTCCCATCTCCCTGGCAGGTCTTAGCCGGCACAATCCAACGCTGCAACCGGCTGGCTCTAGGCCAGCATCTCTTCTTCTGAGTCTCTGCCTCCTCCTCCAAGCAGATGCAGGCTGTCATCTTCAGATGCTTCTGCCTCCTCCTCACTTCCCAGCGGGTCTAGGGAGCGTTTTGTGCCCCGCTGCTTGGAAACTGCTAGTGCGTACTGCATGTTATAGTGGTTCCAGCTACAGCTGTCAATCACACAGGGATGGTCAATGCCAGCAACGCCCAGGCCCTGGCCTGTCCTGCACCCAACCACCTCCTCTGTGACCCCTGAGAAAAGCAGCAGGGGCTGGACATGCCGGTTCCTCCACCCCAGCAGCCATTTTTTTCCTCTTTTCCCTGCCCCAACAATCTGGTTCTGCCCCATCCAGCCCTGGGGCAGCAAAGGCCTTCAAGGACCCAAGGACCCAACTGTAACATCCCATCCCTTTGGGGTCATCCTGGCAGCTCAGCCCTTCCGCTGGGCCCAATCTAGATGGCTTCACCAGCAAGTTCCACCAAACACTTAGGAAGAGACCGCTGCAGAGCTATGTGGTGTTGTGGAGCGAGAGGGGAGGAAGGCACGCTCTGAATCAGTTAATTTTCTGAGTTAATGGAATAAAGGAGAAAAGTGATGCCACCATCACTTTACATAGGAAAGGAGAACTGAAAGATAAATGGATGAGAAAGGAAGGAAGCGCCCCATCGCATCTGCAGGGCACAGGACCCTCTGTGCAGGACTCTTCCTGACAGCCAATGGCAACCCTACAGATTGGCAGTGAACGCCTAGACAGGAGGTCCAAGGAACAATGCACTTACGTGAACTCTAAAAACATCCCATAAGAGGGAATAAATCTAAAGGAGCTGGGCCGGGTATGGTGGCTCATACCTATAATCCCAGCACTTTGTTTGAGAGGCAGAGGCAGGCAGATCACCTGAGGTCAGGAGTTTCAGACCAGCCTGGCCAACAAGGTGAAACCCTGTCTCTACTAAAAATACAAAAATTAGCTGGGGGTGGTGGCGTGTGCCTGTAACCACAGCTACTTGGGAGGCTGAGGCAGGAGAATTGCTTGAACCTGGGAGGCAGAGGTTGCAATGTGCCGAGATCACGCCACTGCACTCCAGCCTAAGCAACAGAGCGAGACTTCATCTCAAATAATAATAATAATAATAATGAATTAAAAAATAAATAAATACATAAATAAGGGAGCTAGACAACCCTCCTCCCCTACAGAGCTCTGTGAAAAGTCCAGGACATCTCAGCCGAGGGAAGGCCTGGCACCAAAACTGTGGATCAGGGCACATCCCAGCCTTCTGTAGGGCACCCAGAACACGAGGGGAGGACAGGCTCGACCTGGACTCCAGGACTCTTTCCAAAGACTGAGTGACACTTCAAGGACAGACAGGAGGACCACATGAACCCACAAGGCCCAAACTCAGGCTCTGCCCCTGAACCCTGGACAGAGCAACTCGCAAACAGGACAGAGAACAGACCGTTCAGAAACGCAGCTGGGAAACCCGGCAACTGATTGGCAACAGAGGGTGATATCCCTCACATGGCTACTCTGAGGCCTGCCTAGTCCCGGCTCTGCAGGACCTTTAGGGAAGGTGAATTGGTAGGGACAAAAAAGGCACAAACCACAAAGAAATGACAGGAGAAGAGGCGGGCACCCCTGCAGAGTGAGCACTGCGGAGGGCCAGGCCCTGTCCTAGGCCCGCGGATGAATCCTCGCAGCAGCAGCAACAGCACCCTTTTCTAGGGGAGCCACAGCTCAGGGCAGCCACACCTCCAGGACTCCAGGCTGCCTGGCCTCACAGTCCTGTGACCACCCCCACTGCCTGTGCAAGTGACCTGCAAATTCAGGAAAGGCTGCCTGGTCCTACGAATGCGGCAATCCCTCCAAGAGCCTGGAGGATTCCGGCCGCACCTGGAGCGCGCCACCTGCAGCCTGTCTGCCTGCCACAGTGCTCACTGCTTTCCATTCAGCGCCAGGCCATTTCCCAAGCTGCTCAACCACGGGGTGGCCGGGCAGGTGCAGTTCACCCGCAGGTGAGAAGACAAGCCTCCAGCACTGGTTCCTTTTGTCCTCAAATCAGATGACACAAGGAGCACTCCACAGTGTGGACCAGCAGGGGACCGTGCACCCCACCCACCCCCAGGCCCTGCACCCACACGTACAGTTTCGACAGGTCGTCCAGGTGCCGCTGGATGCTCTTCTGGAGGAACTGAATGACAGGCAGCAGCGTCCCGGCTCTGAAAGGGAGACTCCCTAAGCGTGCGGGGCTCACCCCGTGGTACAGTGGGCTCACTTCATGCTGCATTGGCATGTCAAAGTTCCCTTTTATCCAGCAGGACAAGCTGGTCCAGTGACCTGAGCCACCGATGAACTGCGGGGGAGACCCTCTACCTGGACTTCAGCTTCTGTCCGTGCAACATGAGCAGTTTGTGAGTCCAGAGGAGGTAGAATTCCAGGTGGCGAGACACTTCAAAGGAGGAAGCTAAAAACTCCAGCACTTTCTCCACATACAGTTCAGGAAGGGAGGAGGTGACCACTTCAACTGCAAAAGGAGAAAAAATCATGCTTATTCTGCCACCAACTCAAACCAGGGGAAGAGAGGATGACCCCGGCGCCCGACACCGAAGCCCCAACTCACTCTCGCCCCTGGGCACCGCCTCCAGGGCCTCCTGCACCAGTTTGCTCTCGTTGAGCCGGAGGGCCATGAGGATGGCCCTGGTGAAGTCCTGCTGGCGCAGTGCCTCGCGCACCCTCCCGGGGGTGACGCTGGTGTCCAGCTCAAACGGGTCAAAGAGCACGCGGGTGTCCAGGGAGTAGATGAGGAGTCCCTCCGTGGTGGTGGCCGCCCAGCAGCGCCCTGGGAAATTAAGCAGTGCTTTCCTAAAAATTTAAGCTCATTCCTCCCAACATTTTTTTTCTTTTTTTTTTTTTTTAAAGAAACAGTATTAAGTACATTCCCCTGGGACAAAGTGCAAAAATCAGGAGGAACCGGGACGTCTGCCTCTAGCCCCCACCCCACTACTCCCCTGGGAAGGAATGAATGGATCATCCCAGAAGTTACTCTCCCAGGGATGCACATATAAGCAAATATGTACACGCATGCGTCCTCCTCTCTTGACGCCGGGAGCCAGCCAAGTCTTCTGTCTAGCTCAGGCGTCTTCAGCTCCGCAGGCCCTGTGGTCTCTGCTGCACCTACTCAGTGCTGCACGGATCACTAGAGACAGCCAGAAGGATCCGCCAACAAAAAAACGCCCAGTAAAATGTCCCAGTAAAACATCAGTGACCAAAGCAGGTGGCCAGCCAGATTTGGCCCTTGGGCCCGAGGGCACAGACCCCTGGCTCACATGGGCCTCTCTGCCCCTGGCTCTGACACTCAGTCTAGGCTGGAGCACGCTTGCCAATAGCCCTGCTCCTGGCTCCTCTGTGTGGGGACCATGTGCACCGCCAGGCTCCACAGGCCTGTGGCACAGACCCTCCTCCCCACTGCGAGAGGATGGGGGCAGTGCGCAGGAGACGGGCTCTCCGTGATGGCAGAGCCGCCCCCAGGCAGCACGTCCAGGGCACTCGGGGAGCTGCTAGAGCAAGGGCATACCAGGCCTGCCATGTTTCAAAGCTCAGTGCATCTGAGGTTGGCACCGTGACAGCCATCCATCCTCAGGGACAACAGCCATCTTGTGGCCTGCAGGGTTTGCAGGGCCATGTTCTTACCCAGGGGCACAGGGCACAGCCCAGAGCCTGCAGACAGCTCCATGGTGGCCAGCCTTGCTATGGCACAGATGCCCCAGTGCCCACCGGCACCAAAAGCCCATGGCTCAGTGCTCACCAGTGGGAGAGAAGCGGAGTGAGGTCACCCTGATCTCAGGTTTGAAGTGCCGAGAACTCATGTCACCTGGGGAAAAAAGAACCGTTAATGATCACTGGACAGCATATCCAGGCTGCTCTCCCCACGAAGCAAGTCATCCTGCGGTCTCCCGGCTGGCTGGGGGGTGCTGTGGGAGCCCCATCAAGAGCAGCAGCCTCTACTCATTGGGTCCTGCACAAAGCGGAGGCAGAAGCAGCCCTTCCCTCGCTGCAGCTGCGGCAGGTGGGCCCGTGCTGGGGCCGCGGAGGCTGTTCCGGGTGAGCTGCCAAACAGATGGCCCAGCCCATGGGGCAGATGCTCAAAAAAGCCAGCCCGGCCAGCAGACTGTGTGTCCAACCCAGAAAAGGGCCCCAGCCCAGCCCAGGAGTGGGTCTGCTGTGCTCAACACGGTACCCTGGGCCTGCATATGGAAGCACTCAGGGTTTCTGGCTGGCGAGTGTCCCATCAGGATGGTCTACCTGGGACCCAGATCTTCTAGAGCACCTGGCTCTCTGTGCGGCGCACATGGCCTCACGCCAGAATGCTCCGTGTGCTGTGCAGCAGACGGGGCACCCAGTCCCAAGAGCAAATGGACGGGTCCCGCCAGGGCAGGGAGGCCACGTGTAGCAACACATGGGCAGCTTCTCCTGCCCAGGGGCTGACGGCACCAGCACCAACCCACTGGGCCTTTGACACCCCCAGTGTCCAGCAAATGTCACCATGTAGTAACTGTTATTTCCACACACTGCAGCCCCAACCAGGGGCATGAATGCGTGGTCACCCAGGACCGGTGAGTGGTGGGCAGATGCGGGAGGAACCTCTGCTCACCTTTCCTGACGCCTGGCAGTGGTATCGCGACTCCATCCTCCTGCCCAGCATCCTGATCAATTAGTGCCAGGTTGCCAAACTCTGTCATTTTTCTTCGGTTCAAAAATTCCTAGAACAGCAAAAGCAGTGGACGCCTTGCTTCTGATGGCCTGGCCGCCTGGCCCTCGTCTCCTACCCTTGCTCTTTGACCCCAACACCAGACAAGCCTCAGCCCTGTCTAGAACAAGGACGGGGAGAGAGCCCTGCAGTGCCCCAGGGACTCTTCCTGCAGAGCTAGCTGCAGACAGGGTGGGTGTGGAAGCTGTGGAGCAGGGCAGGTGCGGAGGCTGCGGAGGGGGATGGACTGAGGTCTACATGCTGGCATTGCTGCCACCATCACAAAGGCTGGGGCTCACAGCGAGGATGGCCGTCTACTCCCTTGTGAAAATGCCAAGGACACTTTCCCCCAGAAACATTTAGGGGACAGTGGGCTTCTGCCCCGATGGGGCGTGGACAGGTGAACCCAGCAGCCACACCCCTGCTTAGAGGCTACCAGGGCTTCCTCACTCTCATTCTGAGGTCCTGCAGGAGCCAGCATGTGAGTGGGACCTGAGCCGAGGGCTGTGCTGAGGGGGAAGGGCAGGCACCAGTGGGGACAGTGAAGGCAGAGCCTTGTACACAGGACCCCGGGCAGGAAGCCATCGGGCAGGGCCTACCAGCACCCTCTTCGTTCACTCCTTCCCTGACAGATGTCCGTGTCTCCTGAGCCAGCGTGTGCTGGGCACTGCCCCTCACAGCTCCAGCCTCCTAGCAACCAGCCTCGGCAGGGTCATCCACAGCAGTGGTTCCCAACCCCTGGTACTGGCCCATGGTCTGTTAGGAAACAGGCTGCACGGCAGGAGGTGAGTGGTGGGCAGGTGAATGAGTGAAGCTTCATCTGAATTTACAGCCGCTCCCCATTGCTCGCATCACCACCTGAGCTCCGCCTCCTGACAGATCAGTGGCAGCATTAGATTCTCACAGGAGTGCGAACCCTATTGTGAACGACACGTGAGGGATCTAGGTTGCACCCTCCTTCTGAGAATCTAATGCCTGGTGATCTTGATCTGAGGTGAAACAGTTTCATCCCAAAATCAATCCCCCCAACCCTGTCTGTGGAAAAATTGCCTTCCACGAAACCGGTCCCAAATGCCAAAAGGGTTGGGGACCGTGGCTCCACACACAGCTGAGGCAGGTGCTGGCTTCACGGCCGGACTCTGCTGGGGCAGGTGAGGGGCCCGTGCACTTAGATACAGGACAAGCACCACAACTGTGCCCAAGGCCCCATGGAGCCAGGAGTGCAGAACGCAGGAGCCCGACGCATTCCACCTGCATTGGAAGCAACATCCATCCGGCCCCGCGCTGGCGGCTCACCTCCATGGCGTCCAAAGACAGGTTGCAAGAGATCTCGAACCTCTTCATGAGAATCTGCTCACGGACGTGGTAGATGCACACGAACTTGGACATGCCTCCCGCCAGGATGCTGTGGCCGTCTGCAGAGTAGCACAGGGCGGTGAAGGCCCTGGGTGGAGAGGAGACATGGACTTACGGTGGCCACCACGGAAACCTCAGCGTATGGCTCCTAAAAACCAACTTTAGGCCTGCATGGTGGCTCCCGCCTGTTATCTCAGCACTTTGGGAGGCTGAGTTGGGAAGATTGCTTGAGTCCAGGAGTTCAAGACAAGCTTGGACAATATACCAAGACCCTGTTTCTACAAAAAATAAAATTAACAGGGTGCGGTGGCACATGCCTGTAGTCCCAGCTACTCAGGAGGCTGATGTGGGAGGATCACTTGAGCCCAGGGGTTGGAGGCTGCAGTGAGCCATGATTGCACTCCTGTACTCTAGCCTGGGTGACAAGAGCGAGACCGTGTCAAAAATCAAAAATAAAAATAAAAATAAAAATAAATAAAATAAAAACTAACCTTAGGAAATAGAGGAGATCCTATACCAGCCCTCCAGGAAGCAAACACCAGCCTCAGCAACTTTCGCCAAGGCTCGCTGCCTCAACTCACGCGAGACTTTTAAAACCCACAATGTCCAATGGTGCCATCACCTGGTTCCGCTCTGAGCCAGCACCACCCTTAGATGCTTCCGCTTCCTGAGAATCAATGTCTTTTTCACAAAAGGAACAAGTGGCTCAAGGAACAGTGTTCCCTGCTGAGGTCAGCACAAAACGGCGACCAGTCGGCCTCCACCCTAAGCAGCCTACTCTCAGTCACGTCTGCTTAGTCCTGCAGAAACCAGAAACCAGCCCTTACCACCCCGCTCAACAGACGCCTCGGGGTGGGCAAGGTCCCTTAGTTATGACAGTAGAGAACAAAGAACAACAGAAAAAATGAGCAAAGTGGACATCATCAGAACTAAGAGTGCCACCAAAACGGTGGAAAGACAGTTCACAAAGCGGAACAAATATCTGCACATCAGGTATCAGAGAAACCCCTAAAATCCACAACCAAAATCCAAACAACCCAATTCAAAAACAGGCAAGAGACCTGAACAGACACTTCTCCAAAGAAGACTTACAAACGGCCAAGCCGCAGACAGAAAATGCTGAATGTCACTAGAGAAACCACAATCACAACTACAATGAGATACGAATTCACATCCACCCCAACAGCTCTCATTAAAAAAATAATAATAATAAAGCAACAAGTGCTGGCGAGGAGGTGGAGAAGCCAGAAGCCGACAGCGTTCCTCGTGGGAATGGCAACCGTGCAGCTCCTCCAAGCTGGAAACAGAACCACCAGCACCCAGCAGTTCCACACTCAGGGCGAACCCATGAGGACTGCACACAGGCATTCATACCACTTCCAAGACAGGGTCGCTACTTCTTTCTGGAGGAAGACCTTCTGCTGAACAGGTTCTGAGCTCCTGGGACACAGGTCCAGCCCCCAAGGCCACCCACCCCGGGCACATCCCACAGATCCTCCCCCTTCTCCTAAGCCTGACCCCCACCCAGTTGAGCCTCACAGCCCAGCCAGGACCCCGCGCAGGCAATTTGGTCAGTGCTGTGCTGGCCCGACTCCTTGAGACAAGGGGACACTATGTCTTCACCATCCACGTAGCACTCTCTAGTCAAGTGAGGTGACTGAGGACCTGCATTTTTACTCTTAGGAGGCTGCCAGGGCTGTTTTCTGCTTTTGTTTGTTTTGTTTTTGAGACAGGGTCTTGCTCTAGCACCCAGGCTGGAGTGCAATGGCATGACGCCATCCTCACTACAGCCTTGACCTCCCGGGTTCAAGCGATCCTCCTGCCTCAGCTTCCCGACTAGCTAGGACCACAGACATGTGCCACCACACCTGGCTAATTTTTCTACTTTTTGTAGAGATGGCATTTTGCCACGTAGCCCAGGCTGGTCTCAAACTTCTGGGCTCAAGCAAACCACCCGCCTCAGCCTCCCCAAGTGCCAGGTCTCCAGTGTGAGCTCGGGCACCCGGCTGCTCTCCCCTCTGCACACCAGGACGATGTCATAATTCAGGATCAAGGTTTGGAAGTGGATGCAAGCTCTCAGCTGAACAAGTTTATGTTCAGTAAATCCAGACGTCCTCCTGTGCTGGGGGCTGTGCGATCCCAGGAGTTAAGGAGGACATGGACTCTCCCCAGAGGGCTCAGGACCACCTGCCTCCACCCACAGGGACTCAGCGGTCTCAGGAACAAAGAACAAGGCCAAAAATGGAGAAGCTGCAGGAGCCTGGTGGCTGGCTGGGGTCTCAAATCAGGAGGCCCGATGCTGACACTCACTTCCCCTTGGCCGCGTGCTTGGCTGTAATCTTGTCCAGCTCCTTCCTGCCAGTCTTGAGGTCATGCCTGCCCTCAATGGAGCCCGTCTGCACCGCGTTCTCAGGGTCCCAGAAGGTGATCTGTGAGTTCAGTGTGGCCACAGCCAGCTCCGCACCATCAGGGCGAAAAGTCACAGCCAGAGCTAAACAGAGATGCAAAGTAAGGCCCAACGAAGACCCCAGTCTCCCGCAGGCAGGCCACCAACCACCCTTGGCTGGAGACCAGGCCGTGCCCTGGCACCCCTAAGAGACCAGCGCCTGTTTGGTCTGGTACACAAGAATCTCCTCCCAGGAGAAGCTCCAACCCAGACAGGTGAGGAACAACTCAGCGCCAGTGAAGAGCACCAGGCGGTCCAGCTGGGGCCACAGGACCCACAAAGGCCGATGGAGGGGGCGCTGGGAAGGTGAGGCTGATGGGTGAGTGATGGTGGTTACTGAGGGCGGCTGGACAGACTAGAATACAGAGCCTCTGCAAAGAAGCCACATGTGATGCCAAAAGCCTGGCCAATGCCAGGCCTGGGGGTGGGGTGAGGCAGCGGGAAGCAGAGAGAACCAGCCTCCTGGGATGGCAGAGTCTGTCCACACCCGGACATGGATGGGCTGGGTCTTTGTGAGCCACGTGGTCTTTCAACACCGCCGCTGAGGCATTGACAGCCACAGACCATATGAACACAGGAGGCCACGGCTGCCTCTAGTACAGCCCCGTCAGAAAGACAGGCAGTGGCCTGAGGCCAGTCTGCAGATCCCTGGGCAGCCGCATCTGGCTTCCGGGCCCACCTATGGCCCCCTCATCCTTCTCCCAGTCTGCAGATTCCGGGACTGGCCGCATCCAGCGTCTGGGCCCCCCATGGTCCCTGTGTCCTTCTCCCAGTGACACAGCCCTGGCAGAGCTCCAAAGCAACTCCGAAAATCAGGAAGCAGCTGCGGCAGCAGCCCTTCACCCTCGGGGAGCTGTTCTCTCCTGCCTGGCGTACTTGCCCACAGAGCGGGAGCCCCACAAGGACTTGTGGAAGCCACGCTGGCCTGACTCGCCAATCTGCTGTCTCCTAGGTACTGCCAACCTCAAGGGCTGCCACACCAGCAGGTCTGGATAAAAGCCACCCCCTGCTTCCCACCAGAAGGTTCACACCAAACCCACAACGAGGAACAGGGCAGTGGGTGTGACAGCATGCTGCTGGTCCCCAGGCCGCTGCTCCTGCCTGCTGCCTCGTGCTCACCATCAGAGGTCAGGGCCAGCGTCTCCTTGGTCCTCCAGCTGTCAAACATGTCCCATAGGCGCACTGTCTTGTCCCAGGAGGCACTGGCCAGGACGGACTTCATTGGGTTAAAACACAGACCACTGATGGGCCCTTCGTGTCCAGACAAAACCTACCGTAGAGCAAGGAGGCGTGAAGAGTGGAGGTGGCGGCCGAGGCGGCTCTCTGGGCAGCTCTGGGCCAGGGGCATGGGCCCTCGGAGTGTAACCTCAGCTCCCTGCGCTCCTCTCCCAGGAGACAGGAGGGCCCCTCCTGAGCCCCAGCCCAGCCCCTCAGGGTGCTTACATCAAGGAGCCTGCCTGTCTGCATGGACCACACGAAAATCTCAAAGGAGTCCTGCGCCCCTGCAGAGACGATCTCACCGCTCGCATCCACCGCCACACAGGAGAACTGGGTGGGGCGTGGAGAGGTGAAGGTGCGGAAGTTTCGGTACCTGCAGAGAAGAGGCAAGGTCAGAGTCACGTGCCAGGGTCCCCTGCCCCAGCAGCTGCACTGCAGCCTCACCCTCCACCTTCACCTCTGCGTGGGGGAAGCCTGCCCCAAGCCAATCCGGAGCAAAAACATCACCTGTGAAGGTCAAAGGCTCGCACGGTCCCGTCCATGGATGAGGTCACCACAACGTAGCCGGTGGCAGTAAAGGTCACACCGGTCACCCCGCTGGAGTGCTCCGTAAAAGTGACGAAGCAGAAGCCGCTGAGGGTGTTCCACACCTTGACCTGAGGCAGGACAGGAGGGGCGGGGGCAGACCCCAACCCTGTGTGCCACGGCTTCGGCCAGGATCCCTGTCCCCATGCCGCCCCACCTAAGATGCTTGCCCCTGTACTGCCCCATCCCTGAGACCCTACCCGTGAGTAATACCCCATCCCTGAGACCCCCAACTGTGACTGACACTCCATCCGAGATCCCCGCACATGACTGAAACCCCATCCCTGAGACCCCCAACTGTGACTGATACCCCATCCCTGAGACCCCCACCTGCAACTGACACCCCATCCCTGAGACCCCCGCATGTGACGCCACATCCTGAGAGCCTTGCCCCTGTGCCCACGGCTGCCCTGGCTCACTCAGCCTCCCCAACAGGCCTGAGGCTGTGCTGAGTGGGTGGTGAGTGGGCCGTCTGCCCCAGTCTCTTCCTGTCACCTCCAGGAGGAGCCCATTTAAGGCCTAGATGGCCCGCAGGGGCACTGCACACACCAGAACCCTGTGGATGCTGGCCGGATGCCAGCTGCCAGTACCATGGACCCACCCTCGGCCACGTACTGGAGCCCCTTGGACACTGGCTGGATGCCGGCTGCCGGCACCACAGACCCTCTCCCCGCCACGCAGCCACCACCGTGCAGGAGACCAAGTCAGAAAGGGGAAAGAGGGACACCCAACCCTCTCCATTCACATTTTTGTATGTTTTTAAACGCCTACTGAGCTCATGAGCCCGGGTGAAGCTGTGAACACCAGCCCTACCGTCAAGACACGGCCCCACAGACCACTGCATCTTCACAGCCCCCCAGGCACAGAGGCCAACGGGACGGGGACAGGAGCCTACCTTGCCGTCGTCCCCGCCAGTCACGATGTACTGTCCGTCGGGCGAGTAGGCCAGGGCCACCATGCTGTTGAAGTGGCCCTGCTGCTTGAGCACGTAGGACTCACTCTGCCACTCCCACACCAGCAGCTGGCCCAGGCCTGTGCACACGGGGGAAGCTGGGGTACCCGGCTCAGGCCCACCCCAGGTCAGACTGGCCCGGCCCACCTTCCCACTTGGCACAGGACTGAGAAAGCTGCCGGGCAGGGGGTGAAACGCACAAACCCCCAAGCATAGGCTGGGACCACTGCCCGATGCTGCAGCTTCACCAGCCAGTGATGGGCCCCGCCCGTGCAACCCAGTGGTTGCAGGTCACAACTGAGGCAGGCTATGACCCCCGACCCCTGAGCAAGGGGCTTAAGACAGAGAGGTGCTTGAGGAGGGCCAGAGCAGGAAGGGCACCCCTGGGAGGCAGCTGGAAGAGAAGAAGGCACCCCCTGAAAGGTGGCTGGAGGAGGGGAGGGCACCCCATGGCAGACAGCTGGGGGAGGGGAGGGCCCCTTCTGAAAGGCGGCTGGGGGAGAGGGCACCCCATGGAAGACAACTGGGGGAGGGGAGGGCACCCCCAGTGGGTGGCTGTCAAGTATGCCTGTAGCCGGGCAGCACTGGTCCCTAATGGGGAGTCCATCTCTACCACCCAGGCGGGGGACAAACCTGAACAGCCAAAAGCAATCCAGTCCCCCGAGCTATTGATGGCCACTGAGGCGATGCTCTGATCTGAAATGCTGCAGAGAACGGGCCTGTAAGTGGGAGGCCAGCCTGCCCGGGCTGAAGCCCCAGTGCCCACTCAGGGCAGCCCCAGACACCAGATTCTATCCCTGTGTGCAGAGCTTACCCCACCCACTCACCAGACTCCAACAATTCACTTCAGTTCAAGTATCAGAGGGCTGGGTGCAGTGGCTCACGCCTGTCATCCCAGCACATTGGGAGGCGGAGGCAAGGATTGCTTGAACCCAGGAGTTCAAGACCAGGCTGGGAAAACCCAGCAAGACCCGTCTCGACAAAAAATTTAAAAACTAGCCGGGTGTAGTGGCGCACACCTGTGGCCCCAGCTCCTCAGGAGGCTGAAGTGGGAGGATCATTTGAGCCCGGGAGGCGGAGGTTGCAGTGAACCGAATTACGCCACCGCACTCCAGCCTGGGCGACAGAGCAGGACTCTGTCTCAAAGAAAAGAATCAGAGAAGGCCCAGAGGGGAGGCCAGGGTTCAACAACTTGCAACTTCACAATTTTATGAGCATAGTATTTTCGTTCTCTGTGTCTCACAGATGAAGAAAAGCGGAGACAAAAACTTGAAAGGCTGTGACTGACCCGAGACCAATGCTGCTGACTGCCAGTGGGGGCGGCAACACTGTCGCACTGACCAGCACCAGCGGCCGGGCAGGTTTCGGGCTGCCGTCCTGTGGCCTGAGCCGGCGCTCCAAGTGGCTCTGCTGCCCCCACTGCTAAGGGCAGGCTTGGCTGGGCCCTCAGATTCAGGGCCAGTGAGTGCATAAAACCACACCCCACTGCGAGCAAAGGCTTACCTCAGGGAGTGGATGAGGTTAAACTCTGGCAGCTCATGAAGATGGAAGATTCCAGAAGCAAAGCCAGTGACCAAGAGGTGAGACTTCTTATGAAATGCTGCAGCTGTCAGGTTGTTAAAATCCCCTTCTTTATTGAAGAAGTACCTGAATTGACGAGAGAGAAGAGTTGTGAGGAGGAGCGCAGAGCCAGACTGCCACCCCAGCTTGCTCTGGGCTCCAGGACACAGGCCACAGATCCAGGCAGGAGGTCCCAGACCTGCCCTCTCCCTCTCCACCCCAGGCCCTGAAGCTGCCCGCCTCCATCCCAAGCTCGGGACCCCAAAGGAACCTCACACAGCATCTCCACTGTCGCCAGCTGGCCCCACAGCAGAGCTAGTGGTGCACCCAGAGACAGCAGTGCCCATGGGAGGCAGAGGAGGTGCGGGAGGCGCGGCATGGCCGCCAGGCACACCCGAATCCCATCATCCCCTGCTGCTTCCTCCTCTAAGGAACCCTCGGTCCCCATCAGCAGACGAAGGTGACCCTGATGGCACCCCCGCCCTCAAAACCTCCCCAAGTCACGTTGTAGCTCAGCCCTGGTCCTTCCCTCTCCTTTCTGGACCCCGTCCCTCCTGAACAAGTGACAGGGAGCACTGGCTGCCAATGCAGCAGGCCCTCCCTTCACATGTTTCGCGCTGACAGCCCGCAGTCCCCGCCTAGCAGGCACACTGTCTTCCTGGAGCTGCCTGGAACCTCCCTTCCCCAGGGCGGGGTTGGGGGGCCCATCATCCCTTCCTCTTCCTCCAGTCCCCATTCAAGTCTTGACTCCAGCACAACACCCCCAAGTCCCCGCGGGCACTGACGGGCACGGACTCACGGGCACTGACCCACCCGCGGGCACTGACTCACTTGTGGGCACTGACCCACTTGGACCTGTTCTGGCCACCCTCCAACTCCGCTGCCCTTGGCAAAGCACCCTCCTCCCACTGGAGTCCAGCCGGCCCTCCCTGCTCCTCAGACCCAGGGCTCTCATGGCCACAACTCCCACCTACCCAGCAGACCCCAACCCCTCCAAAGGCAGCCCGTTCTGGCCGCCTGGCTCCCTCCACAGGCAGGGCCTTGTGTGGGCGCCTTCCCCACCCAGGGACCCCAACTGCCGCCCACCTCCGCACGCAGCCACCTCATCACTGCACCTCTCCTCCCCGGCGGAGAGGAGGCCTCACAAGGGTGGGCAGTGTGTCTCAGTGCCAAGTTCAGAGCCCTGCACACAGCAGGCGCTAAGCAACTGCAGCAAGGAGGGGCCCAGGCTGGGGCACCCGGGTGACGGAGACACCATAGCTGCGGGCAACTCTGCCTTCATGTGATCCTGACCAGCCTCCCCCCACAGCCCAGACGCGGGACACCCCGAATCAGGGCAGCATCTCTGCCAGGGCTCCAGGCACAGCTAAGGCCATCCCACAGGCAGTCCGTGGGGCCGGGCTCAGTCTCATCTCATCTCGTCTCGTCTGGGGGACTGAGTCCGGATGCGGGGCTGCACGGCCCAGCTCAGTGCCTGAAAAAGCACCAAGTACCACCCACCAGCGGGCCCCGAAGCAGGACTCAGACCACTCGCTGCGCCCACTCACAGCCCGGTCCCTCCCTCCACCCTTGCCAAATGCTCTCCCGGCATCTCCCTGCACGAGGCCAAGGGACTATCGCCCACACCAAACTCCACAGAAGCTGGTGGGGCCACAGACAACTCCCAACCCCCTTAGGGCCCAAGGTGCTGCTATTCCCGTCACGGAGTGCCCGCACACCTCCCTGCCCCCTATGCACCCCTACCCACCGCCCTCTGCCCTGCCCTGGGCACACAGGCAGCTCAGACAGCCGAGGCAGGGACCCTGCTTAAGGGGCAGGGTCAACACCCAAGCACTCGAGGGTGCTCAAACCGGGGCCCTGAGACGCAGGCCTGCTCTCTGTACCTCCCACTCCTCGGCCCTGGGGACCCCACATCCAGATCCCTCTGGGGGCAAGAGATTCCCACAGGAGTGCCCCGCCACAGCCCACCACACCTCAGAGACCTACTTGGCCAGCCGTGAGTACTTCACTTTTCCTGTCTTCTCCTCCTCGGCCGGAGTGGCTTTTCCCCGGATGGTGGTCTCTCTGTCGCCCTCCTGGTCCTCCTCCTCCTCCTCTTCCTCCTCCCGCTGCAACAGGTCTGCTTTCCAGCCCGCAGGGGGCTTCAGCCGCAAGCCCTCGGGGGGCGTGTCACACTGCCACATGCACAGCACTCCGTCCTGGCTGAGTGAGTACAGCTGCAAGGGGAAGCACAGGGTCACCCCAGCCCCAGCCACACTGGCCCAGCTGCCACAACCCGGCACCTCCCTCCAGCTCAGATCCAGGGACCAGTGGCACCGACGGCCCCTCTGAACTCTGAGAACAATTCTCGATGGGCCGCCACAGCTGCCATCGGTCCCTAGATGCCCCCAGGCCACACGGGAACAGCCTGGGGGAACCGCAGGAAGAGGCCGCCTGCAGCCTGGGGCCTCCCTGAACTAGCCGCTTTTGGCCACCATCAGGCTAGGGAACTTGGCAAAGGGACATACGTCCAGGCTGTTGGATTCAAAGAAGCAGGCCACGATGGCATCCTTATGTCCCCCCAGTGCATAGTAGATGAGGTTGTCCCAGCGCTCGGCTCCGAACACCCAGGTGGACATGTCTTTGCTCCCAACCACAAAGCACCTGGAAAAGAGGGAGATGGCACCTCCTCAGGGCTTGGCCATAACAAAGCAGCCAGGTGCAAGCTCCAGAGGGCTGCACGGAGACCGCTACAGCCCCACGTGGTCTCAGAGTGAGCTGAGACGCCTCCAGGCACAGGAAGACACCCCGGCACAGCCCCTGCCCTGTCTGCCTTCCTCACACCTCCCAGACGCTGTCCCTGCCCTGTCTGCCTTCCTAACTCCTCCCAGACGCTGCCCGAGCCAACCACAGCATTCCCAGTTTCTGGGACAAACAGGTGAAAGGGCAGTGCAGGGGCAGGAGGCTCGGCCACAGCACACACTTCAGAGCCGCAAAGACTCGACCACAGCCACCCAGCCAGTCCTGATGGTGTGGGCAGCGCCCAGCCCCAAAGGAGGCCGAGATGCCATTGCGGAACGAAGCTGCAGGGCCCAAGGGGGTGACCTGTCCAAGGGGCCTCTCTCAAGCCCCGCTCCCCCGAAGCCTCTGAGGCCGCACCTGGAGTCATCCGTCCAGTCGATGCAGGTGGTCTCATCGTAGGGCCCAAAATAGGTCTTGTCCAGAACGAAGGCGTTGAACTCCCGCTTCTTCCCAGGGGCATGATACATCTGGGCAATGTTACCCTTTGTGACAACAAACTTCCTATGGAAGGAACGCGGACATAGTTGATATTCAAGACCAGCAATGGCCCTAAGGCCACTGTGGAGTCTCAGCCTGCACCCACCTGGGCCTTCTGGAGTCCCGCCTCCTGCAGGATGGAGGCCAAGGAGCAGAGGAAGCAAAAGTCAGGGAAGAAACAGCCCTGGAGGGAGGGCAGCCTGGCCGCACCAAGCCTTCTCCTCCAGAAAAGGGGGTCACCAATGCCAGAGCTTGGGCCGTGTGCCCAACCCAACGTCACAACCCGGGGCCCAGGGAAACGAGCTGGGCAGTGGGCCTCACCGTCGGCATGCACGGCCGAACCCTCCTGCCCCCAAGCTGTCCCCCTTACCTGCCATCAGGGGAGAAGGACACACTGTGCACAGAGCCCTTGAAGTGGAAGTGGTGCAGCACAGACCTGCAGACCAGGCTGACCAGCAGCGCATCGCCCCCTGCAGGACGCCAGAGGTCACCACCGCGCAGCTACCCCAGGGGCCACCCCAGATACATAGCACGGGAAAAACGGAGAAAGGTCTTTCTCGCGTCCACTGTGAGGAGTCAGGACTGAGAATGCCCAAGGGCCATGAGGCCCTGCCCTGCCACAGGTGATGCCACAGACACAGCCTGCGGCGGGGACGCAGCCTCGCCCATGACACCCTCATCCCCAATCCCCACCCGGGCCCCAACACGGAGGCGACTGGGGAGCGGATCATTTCAGACCCACACAGCCCTGAGTCCTCCTCACTGGTCCCCTCAGTACCCGCCCACATCAAGGGCAAGTACCTTCATCGACGATGATAGCGAGGCGGCCATCCGGGGACAGCCCCACGCACTTGACGTTGTACCGAGTGGCCAGGGGCAGCGTGTCAGATTTGTTGCTGATAAAGACAAAAACCACAGTGTGCTGTTGGTCCTCAAGTCACATGAGGGAGACAGGCCAGGCCTGGCCTGGGACCAGCGGCTCACCCTCCCCAAGTAGCGCCTCCAATCTTACTGGACCCCACAAGCCAGAGCTCATCTGTGGATACCCCCCACTCCTGAAAAAGAAATGACATTGTTGGCCGGGCACGGTGGCTCACGCCTATAATCCTAGTGCTTTGGGAGGCCAAGGCGGGCATATCATAAGGTCAGGAGTACGAGACCTGCCTGGTCAACATGGTGAAACCCCGTCTCTACTATAAAAACAAAAAACAAAAAATTGGACAGGCGCGGTGGCTCACACCTGTAATCCCGGCACTTTGAGAGGCCAAGGCGGGCGGATCACGAGGTCAGGAGATTGAGACCATCCTCACTAACACGGTGAAACCCCGTCTTTACTAAAAATACAAAAAATTAGCCGGGTGTGGTGGCGGGCGCCTGTAGTCCCGGCTATTCAGGAGGCTGAGGCAGGAGAATGGCGTAAACCCGGGAGGTGTAGCTTGCAGTGAGCCAAGGTTGCACCACTGCACTCCAGCCTGGGCGACAGGGCAAGACTCTGCCTCAAAACAAACAAACAAACAAAAAAACCCAAAAAATTAGCCAGGCGTGGTGGTGGGCGCCTGTAATACCAGCTACTCAAGAGGCTGACGCAGGAGAATCGCTTGAACCTGGGAGGCAGAGGTTGCAGTGAGCTGGGACCGCACCACTGCACTCCAGCCTAGGTGACAGAGCAAGACTCTGTCTCAAAAAAAAAAAGAAAAAGAAATGACGTTGTCCCTGGAGGAACTCTAGTGAAATGCATTAAAAGCCTTAAAAATGGGCTTTGGATACATCAATTCTGCTTCCAGGATGATATGATGAGAGGATTATTCCGCCTCAGTGTGACATCAAAATACCAGAAGCAAGCTAAGTGCCCAACAGGAATTAACCACCATGACAGTGCACCCATGTAACACTGTTGCTAGAAAAATGGAAAATAAGGGGCTACAGGAATCCCGCGGAGATGCTGCAGATAACGCTTACACTGCAACTGAGTGAGGCACACACATTCCAGCTTCCCCATAAGCAGCCGAGCTGTGTTTACACCATACTGTAAACAGTACGGCGTAGTCTACTAGCGTGTGCTGTAGTCTGTAAGCGTGCACTGTGCTCTATTCGTGTGAGTTGTAGTCTGTTCGTGTGTACTGTCGTCGAAGTGTGTACTTTATTGGTGTGCGCTGCAGTCTACTCATGTGTGCTGTAGTCTATCAGTGTGCACAAGCATTCTGTCTAAAGCAACAACGTGCATCCCTTAATTTAAAAACACTTTACTGCTAAAAAATGCTAACAATCATCTGAGCCTTCAGTGAGTCTTCATCTTTTTGCTGGCAGACAGTCTGCCTCGATGTGGATGGCTGCTGACCAGGCACAGTGGCAGCTGCTGAAAACGGGGTGGCCGTTGCCAATTCCTAACACAACAGTGAAGCTTGCCGTATCGATGGACTCTTCCTTTCACAAGATGTCTCTGTAGCATGTGATACTGTTTGATAGCATTTTACCCACAACAGACCTTCTTTCAAAACCGGAGTCAATCCTCACAAATGCTCCCAGCGTTTTATCAACTAAGTTGATGTCATATTCTAAATCCTTTGTTGTCATTTCAACAGTCTTTACAGCATCCTCACCAGAAGTAGATTCCATCTCAAGAAACCACTTGCTGGCCGGGCATGGTGGCTCACACCTGTAATCCCAGCACTTTGGGAGGCTGAGGCGGGTGGATCACCTGAGGTCAGGAGTTCTAGACCAGCCTGGCCAACAATGATGAAACTCCTTCTCTACTAAAAATACAAAAATTAGCTGGGCGTGGTGGTAGGCGCCTGTAATCCCAGCTACTTGGTAGGGGGGCCCGAGGCAGGAGAATTGCTTGAACCCAGGAGGTGGAGGTTGCAGTGAGCCAAGATCATGCCATAGCACTCCAGCCTGGGGGACAAGAGTGAGACATTGTCTCAAAAAAAAGAAAAGAAACCACTTGCTTTGCTCATCCACAAGCAGCAGCTCCTCATTCATTCAAGATTGATGGCAACATTGCGGCAATTCAGTCCCATTTCAGGCTCTGCTTTCATTTCGAATCCTCTTGCTATCTTTACTGCATCTGCAGTAACTTCTTCCACCAAAGTCTCGAACCCTTCAAAGTCATCCATGAGGCTTGATACTAAACTTCTGTCAGACTCCTGTTAATGTCGACACTTTGCCCTCATTGAATGAATCATGAAATGACAACTAGAATGGCGACTCCTTCCCAGAAAGCTTTTTATTGGCTTTTCCCAGATCCATTACAGGAATCACTATCTTTGGCAGCTAGAGCCTTATAAAATATATTTCTTAAATGGTAAGACTTGAAAGTTAAAGTTACTCCCGTAGGCTGAAGAAGAGATGTGGTGTTAGCAGGCATGAAGACAGCATCTCCTTATGCGTCTCCATTGGAGCTCATGGGTGACCAGGTACGTTGTCCAACAGCAGAAATATTTTGAAAGGAACCTTAGTGGGTTCAACAATGGGCTGGAAAGATTCAGGAAACCATGCTGTAAACAGATGTGCTGTCGTCCAGACTTTGCTGTTCCACTTATAGAGCACAGGCAGAGTAGCTTGGGCATCATTGTGAAGGGCATTAGGATTTTCAGAACAGTGAATTAGCACTGGCTTCAACTTAATGGCCCCAGCTGCATTAGCCCCTAATAAGAGAGTCAGCCTGTTGTTTGAAGCCAGACACTGACTTTTCTCTAGCTATGTAAGTCCTCGATGGCATCTTTTTCTTTTTTTTTAATTTATTTATTTTTAGATAGAGTCTTGCTCTGTTGCCCAGGCTGGAGTGTACTGGCACGATCTCAGCTCACTGCAACCTCTGCTTCCCAGGTTCCAGCAATTCTTCCACCTCAGCCTCCTGAGTAGCTGGCATTACAGGAATGTGCCACCATGCCTGGCTAATTTTTGTACTTTTAGTAGAGACGGGGTTTCACCATATTGGCCAGGCTGGTCTCAAGCTCCTGGCCTCAAATGATCTGCCTACCTTGGCTTCCCAAAGTGTTGGGATTACAGGCATGAGCCACTGCGCCTGGCCATCTTTTTCCAATAGAAGGCTGTTTTGTCTCCATTGAAATTTTGTGTTTAGTGTAGTCAGCTTCATCAATGATCTCAGCTAGATCTTCTGGATAACTTCCTGCAGCTTCTCCATAGCACTTGCTGCTTCGCTTTGCACTTTTATGTTGTAGAGATGGCTTCTTTCCTTAAACTTCATGAACCAACCTCTGCTAGCTTCCAACTTCTTTCCTGCAGCTTCCTCACCTCAGCCCTCACAGAACAGAGGACAGGTAGGGCCTTGCTGTGCATTAGGCTTTGACTTGCTTAAAGGAATGTTGTGGCTGGTTTGATCTTCTATCTGGATCACTCAAACTTTTATCCGTATCTGCAATAAGGCTATTTTGGCTTTCTTGTAATTTGTGTGTTCACTGGAGTAGCACTTTTAATTTCCTTCAAAAGCTTTTTCTTTGCATTCACAACTTGCCTGTTTGGTGGCAGAGACCTGGCTTTTGGCCTATTTCAGCTTTTGACATGCCTTCCTCACTAAGCTGAGTCCCTTCTAGCTTCTGATTTCAGGTGAGAGTTGTGTGACTCTTCCTTTCACATGAACACGTAGTGGCCACTGTAGGCCATTATTAACTGGCCTAATTTCAGCATTGTTTGTGTCAGGGAATAGGGAGACCCAAGTAGAGGAAGAGAGACGTGGGGGGGTGGGGAACAGCCGGTCGGTGGAGCAGGCACAGCACACACAGTGCTTACCGATTAAGCTCGCTGTCTTACATGGGCACGGATCACGGCACCCCAGAACAATCACGATAGCAACAGCAAAGATGATCACAAATCACCCTCACAGGTATAATAAACTTTGAAATATCACAAAATTACCAAAATGTGACACAGAGACATGAAGTGAGCCCCCACTGCTGGAAAAATGGCACCGACCAACTTTCTCCAAGCAGTGTTTCCACACACCTTCGCTTCGTGGTAAAACAGCATCCGCACAGAGCCAGAGTGCAACAAAGTGAAGCAAAGTGCAACAGCACACAGGAAGAAACCGCTAAACCCCAGCGAATAAAACTGACCTCCGGCTGCAGAGCTGGAAGCTTTGGGCCTGCCCGTCCGACTGGTGAGGCCCAGTGGCAGCAGGGCTCCCGAGCAGGGGTCCAAGGTACCTTCAACTCCCCCAGCAGCCCTGGCCTTTCAGCCCTTAGGGGCCTTCCCTGATGGGGGAAGGGCTAACCCTGAGCTACACCTTTTCCCCCACCCACCCTTCACAGCACAGGGACAGGGTCCCTTCCCACAGAACGGAGCCAAGTGACACACCACTTTATGGGGCCTGGCTAAGGCACTACAACGAAGAACTGGGTCTGGCTGCCAATTTCCACAACTGATCTGCTGACCCTAGTCTGTCCTGTAGTCCTGTCCTGGGCTCCCTTAATTAACGGGTGCACCATTAAAAGGAAGGCACAGAAGACACTATCAGTTTTCATATGTTACTTAAAAAATGGTGATAATAGTAATCAGTATCACTATTATGAATACCACTTTCACATACTTACTTTTTAAGGTCAAATACAGTGACTCTATTGCCCACGGGACTGATAACTGAATTTCCATCGCAGGTAAAATTTAGGTTCCCACGCCGGTACACCGTACCCAGCAAATTTGAAAACTGTGAAGAAAACAAAATTGTCTTAACACAAAGAAAACAGTCGACTCCCAGAAAAGCACTAAGTGAGGCATCTGGGCAGAGAGATGGCATAGAGAACCCCACCTTGGGGGCCCGTTCACCTTTCCTGGGTAAGAGAGGAAGAAGTGAGCCTGATCCTCAGGAGACCAGAGGAGCCCGGGCGGCCCCAAGCTCCCACAGAGATGGGTAAGATGCCCCTGTGAGCACTGAGGAAGCCTCCCAAGACAGGAGGCGTCTGCCAGGTGAAGAGGGGCATGGAGCCCACACTTCACCAAGAAAAAAGCTGCAACAATGGAACAGCACCCCAAAAGTGCTTAGAACTCAGGGCTTCCAGAAGTGTGGTAAGCCAGCATCCTATTTACTAACTCACGAGCACGAGCGTTCACTGGAGACTGCCATGCGCACAGACACGCACACCTTATATTCTCTCTCTAGCAGGAGGGGGATGAGAAGTGTGGGAGCAGGGGCTACTTTAGACGGTGGTCACGGAGAGGCACCTGGAAGGGTCACCTGAGCTGGAATCTAAATGGGAAGGCACCAGCCAGGCCCTGAAGCTGTGAGTGGGCAGCGCCCTCAGGACCTCAGGGAGGAGCTTGGTCAGCAGAAGGACTTTAAGCGGCCAGGCAGGCTCCAAGGCACATTTTTTGCCACCTTGCAGTAGGAATGTGGAGCGGATGAAGTCCTGGCCTGTGAGGACGTGGATATGGTTTCTGGTTTGGTGCTGGGCACACAGCGGTGGCTCCACCAGCACAGGGGACACAGGAGCAGCACTCTGAGGGGCCAGTACCATGCCCAGTTTCGGACAGGACAAGTGTAGTACACGGTGGGCTCAGCAGCAGGCGGCCCGTGCAACCCTGGAAGCGCAACGGTCAGGGCCACTGTGGGAAACACAGGCGTCCCCATAACCGGCCAGCTGTAGCAAACGCTTCAGAGACCCCCAGGCCGGCTCCACGGCCCCCTCTTATTACCTGTCTCACCCGCCTCCTGCACTTCACATCTGGGACAAGTCTTCCCTGGCTCTCAAAGCTGAGGGCGTCCGCCTCAGGAATTCCCTCCGGCCTCGGGAAACAGAGCTCACACCTGGGTTCCCCGCCCTTCCGCTCACCTGGACGCTCGCTCGTTAGGGACCAGTCCCGGGCCCCGGGTCCCTGCTGTTCTCACCCCGCCTGCGCGCGCCCGCGTCCCCGCCCCGTCCCACCTCCTCATCCCTCCCGAGGGTGCTGTGCCCTCCCCGACTGCACCAACTCCAGCCTTTAGGTTGGGCCATACTCAGGTTAAAAATATCCCGGGACCCCGACAAATGTCCCTGTTCCCTCCGAGAAGCCGTCGGCGCCTCCGTCCCAGCTCTCCCAGGAGCCCCACCACAGCCCCGCGTCCCCGAGGCCACGGGCGCGCAGACAGCCGGCGACCCCCACGCGGCCAGACGCCGCAAAAGCAGACCACGCGCCCCCAGCCCGCCCGGAGCCAGCTCAGGCGCCGTCCACCGGAAGAGCCGCGCCGATCCAACAGACCGCCCGCCGCCCGCGCTCACCCGGTAAGCGAACTTCATCACGGCCGTCGCACGTGTGCCGCAGCTCAACCCGGCGGCCGCCCACAGAGACACTTCCCGGGGGTCCGCGCGGCACCGCCCACAGCACGCACTTCCGGGAAGCGACGGCGTGCACCGCCCACAGCGCGCGCGCCCGGGACGGGGTCGCGCACCACCGTCCGCAGCGGCCCAGGAGGCAGGAGGAGCTGCGTCGCCCTCGCCCCGCCCCGAGGCGGAGTTTGAACGCGAGGCCCAACCCCTCCCAAGGCGGGGGCCTTCTCCGGGCCCCGCCCACACCCCGGAGCCACACTGCAGGGCGCCTCTTAGGCGCGCTCCAGCGCTGGGCGCGCTCCGCACGGACGCCCAGCCTGGCACAGCAGCGTCCACAACATGAGAGCGCTGCACACCCAAATGTCTTCGTTCTTGTGAACTGTTGGGTAAGGAATTATGAATAAAGTCCCGAATGCTGGCCGGTGCGGTGGCTCACGCCTGGGAGACTGAGGCGGGTGGATGACCTGAGGTCAGCAGTTCGAGACTAGCCTGGCCAACATGGTGAAACATCATCTCTACTAAAGTATAAAAATGAGGCGCATGCCTGTAGTCCCAGCTACTCGGGAGGCTGAGGCAGGAGAATGGCTTGAACCTGGGAGGCGGAGGCTGCAGTGAGCCCAGATCGCGCCATTGCACTCCAGCCTAGGCAACAGAGCATGACTGTCTCAGAGAAAAAAAAAAAAAAAAAAAAAAAAATAATCCGAATGTTTCCCAAAAGGCAAATAATCTATGCCCAAGAGTCAGGAACAAGGACTAGGGAGATAAAACAATAAAATCTTCACATTACATACTGTTGTCACACCATGTCGCAGCAAAAGATCCAGTGCAAAATAGTTTCTTCTTAAAATGTGTATTTTCAGAATTACAATGCTTACATTTTAAAGTCTTAATACAATGGTTTTAATCTAACAATATATTACATAATATGAAAAATGACTTTTCATAGTAAACCATGAAAATGGAATACCTGCAGTGTCAAAGTCACCAACTTGTCACCTTTTCCAGTCACAGAATCCCAACACATTGTATTAATGATGACTGGGGGGGGTCTTACAGCCTGATGTATATAGGATGAATAAATGTAGAGAAAGGAGCATTTTCATGAAAAATAAAATTTAAAAACCAGGTAGGATTTATTTTAAAGAACACAGTTGAAAGTAAAACATTTACATCAGCCCAGTTTGCCCTTTTGTAAAAAGTAGTATAGCTTTTCATTTTATATACAAACCTGCAGTGTCTGATTTCATTTTAAAACTTAATTTTAAGCACTAAAGAAAATTTGAATAGAAGCCTGTGTGTATTTTCTCTGCTAATTCTGTATGGGATATCTGGCATCTCCACTAAGAGTAATTAATACAGGATCTGACCTTCCTAGGCTGTGCTGACAATGGAACTGTTGTAGGTAAAGTCATTTTCAGATTAAATACAACAATTTCCACATTAGAATCAGAAGAGTTATAATTTTTCCAATCATAGGACATCCCATGAAATTCACAAAAATTATAACTTATTTTATTTTCCATTTGACAGTATTTACATGTTCCACAGATATTTGTAAAACGGCTGCAAATTCCTTGCTTTTCAGATACACATTGCATATCTGGCTTCACAATTATTTAACATCTCTTTATCAACAAAACCAGCTTGTCTCAAACACATACACCTTACTTTAGATAAAAACAATAAACATCCAATTACAGTTACTCTTTTAGGACTTTTATGATGAACATTAAGAAAAAAATGACAATTTTGGGTGACATTCTTCTTTGTCTTAAAGAGGCAGAAGCATTCATGTAACATAGTTTGCAAAAGATCTTTTGGGTAATTAGGGGGAAAAAAACTGATAAATTTGATTTCATTTCATTTCCAGGCAATTAAGCGCCGTAAACATTTTAAATTTCCCCTTCACTTTCTTCCTCTAAATATATATGTAGTTGGATAATTTCATCCTGGGAGTAGAACCAGATACAAGAAAATCAAACAGTAATAAATGAAACATTCCCTCTTCCAGAAGGTAAGAGAGAAAGCTACATTACACTGGGGAAGGCTCCCAGGCTGACGACACGGATTACAGTCTCTTCTGACGGAATCAAATCTCCCATCTCTTTATTCACAGGACTTGGTAGAAATGCAGGGCAATCGTCAATTTTTACAATAAAAAACCTTATTTTAGAAACCCTAAACTATCATTAGATTCTGAAGTTCTAATTTGCTAACTAGTTTGACCAAGTTTGTTAAACTGCACATGAGGAAGATAAATTTCTGGAAAGTTTAATTACACAATTATTTATCTTCTTTACACGTCTCCAGTTTCTACAAATGAAAAAGACAGGAGGAAAAAAAAATCACACCACCTTTATTTATTGAATGAGCTAAAAGACAACACAGAGAATACTGGAAATGACGGCTGTCATATTTCCCCGGTCTGTGCCTCCTTCCTCCCATGCCCCACCGCCTCCCGCAAGCACAGTGCTGGGCAGGAACCCGGTGCTCCTTCTCTCCACAACTTGCACATCCACGGGGATTCACACGAGGGCCACCCACTGCTGGACCCGACTCTATCTGCTTGAGCTAATCTTGTCAAGTTCAATTCCAAGCACATTTGCCCAGTAAATTAAGAGTACTCTATTTCAAGTGTACAAAAATACATCGCTTTGGAGAACTGGAAAAGGTTTAATACATACAACACTTATTTACAAGCTGTGACTTTCACACCTGTAAAAACAAACACACTTATTTTTGTCCTTGATTTTTGGTGCAACTTATACATAAACATTACATCAGTTAGTCTGTATTTTTAAAAATAATAAATCAACCATATGTACAATTAAATTTACAACCGAAAGCAAATAATCCATTGGAACAGTGTGACTGCAACTCAGTAGACCAGTGGAGGACATTCCAGGACTTGAGTCCTTCCCTACAACCAGACCAAAAACACACTGAGGACCTCTCTCATCCTCACGATGGAATATCTTAATTTCTAAGACTTAAGATGCAAAAGAAAAATAACGATTATACAGCTACAATTACATGTAAAGACTTTAAAGGGACAGAAAAACAACATATTAACCCCCACATATATAATGATCATTAAATTAAATATATTTAACTCCCAGTGCATATGATATTCTATCAACATTATGGGGGACCACAGGGTTCCAGAAACATTTATCCCTAAACCACCTCACCGCTGAGGCGCTCCTCACAGCCGGGTCTCAGCTTTCTTCAGTACCTTTCACGTGGCTCCGGCTGATGGGCCTCCAGGTCCCCCAGCTCCGGCATCCCAAGGCACAGAAGGGGTTATGATCCCTCCCTCCCCCACCCGCCTCCCCTAGAAGGGTGTTATTCTAGAAAAGCACAATGAGAGGATCTGCGGTAAACGGCTGTTTTACCCCTTAGGGGACACAAATCCACCCCGATCAGGAAACTGGGCAGCTGTGTGACCAGAAAGGCACACACGTCACTAAGACCGTGAGGGCTGCTGAGTGTCTACCTGAAAGACAAATGGCCTTCCACGAAGAGCCAGCAGACGGAGGCTGTTCCGTGGAGACAGCGTGGGTGGAAACTTTCATGAGCAGCGTGTGAGGTAGGGGGAGGGAGGCCAGGGCTCTGAGTAAGCGGCGTCGGACACCAGCATGGGGACGGGGTGAGAAAAGCAGGAATCTGAGATCACAGGCGGCATGAAAACAACAACAGAACTCAGCTGGCCAGCTGCGTGATGACACTCTCTGATGTCCCCACGGCCAGGCAGGACCACTGAAGGTCTGGCTGGAGCCAGAACGGAAGAGTCCAGTCACAGTCCCATAAAGTGCACTCCTAGCTGGGAAGTGGCGTGTGTTCACCCTGGCGTTGTCATGTTACACTGACTTCCAGGACGTGGTCATCTTGGCTGGGGATGACCAGGACTTGTGTGCCCGAGCTGGAGTTGAAGACCTGGCCGGCCGGCAGTGCCTGCAGCCGGGGCATGGGTAGGCCTTTGTGCTCGCTGCTGCAGGCCGAATGCACGCTGCCCCTGCTCTTGAGGCTGCTGCTGTCCGGCTGGTCGTCCCCGTGCTTGTCTACTGACAGGCTGTCGTTTTCTATCCAGCTGTCTGCAAAACACACAGGAAGTTAGACCCAAGCTGCGCCGACACTCACCTGGGGACGGGCAAAGCCACACGGAGCCAGGCTGAACGTGCAGAATGCCACCCGAGGCTGCCCCTTTACAGAGCACTCTGTGCACAGAGGCTTGGCTTTCAGAGCAGGTGCCTAAGATTCTAACAGCGGATGAGGCTTCTAGTACCAGTTTCTACCGGCACTGAAAACACGCCGCTAGTTCTCCAACCTGCTCAGTCATAAGTTTATCACCTCTCGCACAAAGTGCTCACCTGCTCAAATACTGAAGGTAAACTTTTTCTTCCAAAGTCCTTACCAGCGTCCAGTTGGGAGGAGTGTGCAGAATGATGGGGGAGGTACTTGAACAGCCTGACGTCGGGCAGGGGGAGATACCCGGCGAAGAGCGGCATCACTTCCATGTGGACCCTGTGAGTGGCCCGAGCAGCCACTGGCATGGAGATGACACCGCAGCTTTTCCCACACACTGCCCAGTTGCTACTGTTGTCGACAACTGAAACGAGAGGAAGCGATGTGTCATCCAGGACGGGCCTTCCAGTACTCAGGCGAGAGTCACGGCCGTCGTTACCCAATCCTCTCACCCAACGCTGTCTGACAAAACACTGCGGACACAGAGCCCAGTGCCTTGTAGCTGCGCCTGAAGATAAAGCCATGCACTTTCACGGTGGCAACCCCTATTTCATTGAGTCCAATTTCAATTAGTTCTGGATTAGAATGAATTATGCTGGACGTGTACAGAAAACTGCATTTTTCCTGTGAGGTTAATAAATGATTTAATTTTGTTTTCAAATTTTTGTGTCATCTTCCACAGTATGGTGACTTTGGCAGTTAATGGGTTCTGTCTGGTAAGTGGCAGTATCCAAGACCACTGGGTCTGAAGCCAACTCTGCCACTCAGAAGAGCACCCCAAGGCCTCCAGGCTCAATGACCGCTGTATAGTGCTGAGACCACCACCAGCCTCACAGAGCTGCTTTTTAAGGATGGAAAGAGAATACGTATGAGGGAACTACAAAAAGTTCATGCAAAAATGGAATCCAAAGATGAAAACAGAAAATATAAGCTTTATTTCTCAACATAAGCCCCACCAAGGTCAAGACATGTTTGTAAGCAATGATGCCATTGCTTACGATGCCATTTAGTCCATCCCTGAAGAACTGGGAGGCCTGAGAATTTAGCCATGTCAACGCAGTCTTTCTCTACATTATTAGCTGAATAAAAATGGGTGCCTTTTAAAGACTTCTTAAGATCAGGAAACCAAAATCAGTCAGAAGGAGCCGAATCAGGTCCACAAGGTGGATGCCTCATGATTTCCCATAGAAACCCTCACGAAGTTGGGCTTGTTAGAGGAATGAGCAGGAGCTTTGTCGTGGTGGAGGAGGACTCTCTGGTGAAGCTTCCCCAGGGGTTTTTCTACCAAAGCTCTTGCTATCTTCCTCAAAACAATCTCATAATACACAGACGCTGCTGTCCTTTGACTCTCCAGAAAGTCAACAAGCAAAATGCCTTGAGTATCCCAAAAACCTGTTGCTGTGGCCTCTGCTCTTGACCAGTCTGCTTCTGCTTTGGTGGGGCCACCCCACCTCTTGGTAGCCATTGCCGTGTCTGCTTTGTCTTCAGGATGGTACTGGGAAGGCCACACTGCATCTCCTGTTATGGTTCTTTGAGTAAATGCTTCAGGATCTTGATCCCGTGTGTTTGAAGTTTCCATGGGAAGCTCTGCTCTGGTCGGCCACGGACCTGGGTACTAGGGTTTTGGCACCCACTGAGTGGAACGCTTGCTCACCCTTCAGGCGTAATTGCATAAGCTGAACCAGTTCAGATGTCTGCGGTGTTGGCTGTCATTTCTGCTGTTGTCAGTTCCCTCCAATTAGGGCATGAACAAGGTGAATTTTTTCCTTGAAAATGGATGTGGATGGTCTGCTTGCTATGGCCTTAATCTTCAGCATCATCTCGTCCCTTCTTAAAACAAGATATCCATTTGCAAACTACTAATTCTTTGGGGCACTGTCCAAAGAATTTCATAAACTTTTCATAAAGCATCAATGATTTCACCATTCTTCCACCCAAGCTTCACCATAAATTTGATGTTGGTTGTTTTGTTGTTGTTGTTGTTGTTGAGGCGGAGTTTTGCTCGTTGCCCAGGCTGGAGTGCAGTGGCGCAATTTTGGCTCACTGCAACCTCCGCCTCCTGGGTTCAGGCAATTCTCCTGCCTCAGCCTCCCAAGTAGCTGGGCTTATAGGCGCCTGCCACCACGCCCAGCTAATTTTTGTATTCTTAGTAGAGATGGGGTTTCGCCATATTAGCCAGGCTGATCTTGAACTCCTGACCTCAGGTGATCCGCCTGCCTCAGCCCCCCAAAGTGCTGGGATTACAGGCGTGAGCCACTGCACCCGGCCAATGTTGGTTCTTGATTTAATTTTAGCAGAATTCATGTTGCTCTGATAGGGGCTCTTTTAAAACTGATGTCTTATCCTTCTTAGTGCCTCAAACTAGATCCTGCTCAGTGAGTAGGAGCTTATTTTGGTGCAAAAAGTGTTGAAATCCATGCATAGTTTTTTCATAACGTATCTTCCATGATTTTTTTGAAGACCCCTTGTATGTAAAGCACTTAGTACCACTCCTGGGACATGGTAGTGTCTTAATATATGGCAGGTGTTATTATTAACATTAATTATTAAAACACAACCATCATGTAATTCAATGCAATTCAAACACTTAAGTGATCATTCACTGGGACTAGCCCTGGAGATATGAAAGTAAGCAAGACAGGATCCTTGCCATCCAGTAGCAGTAGACCTGGTAAAGAGGTCACAGCTTCCCATCATGAGGATACCGAGCAACCGCCCAGGGGGAGTGAGTGACCAGAAGGCCACGAGCAGCAGAGAAGGGCTCAGGGAGGTGGACATCCTGTAGTTGGGGATGGGGGACCTTTGAGGACAGGAGCTACTACAGGACATGCAGAGGCCCTAGGAGTGTCAGGAGGAAGGCAAAGGAGTGACAGTTCTCAGAGTGTGGCTCTCAGGGCACCCGCAAGCTCATAGCTTTCACACTGCTGCCTTTCTACGCTGCTGACCTCGCGCTGCTGGGGCAACCACAATGGCATGAACTCGGGCCAGACTGCGCAGTCATGTCACTCATGTTCTTTACTACCATGAACTCACAGCAAAAAAACAAAAAAAAAAATGCCACGCTTCACAAAGCAGTCAAAAGTGCTCATTTTATTAAATTCAGCTCCTGAGTAGACTTTTTTTTAATTGTGAAATGTTTATAGACTCACAAGAAGTTGTAAAAGTAGTAGAGGGGTCACATACCTTCATCACCAGCTTCACCCAACTGTGCCATCTCGTGTAACACAGGAAGCTGACACTGGTACCATACAGTGACCCAGGCTGCAGACCCCACTGGATTTCACTACAGAGTGAACCAGGCTGCAGACCCCACTGGATTTCAATACAGATAGAACCAGGCTGCAGACCCCACTGGATTTCACTACAGAGTGGACCAGGCTGCAGACCCCACTGGATTTCAATACAGCTAGAACCAGGCTGCAGACCCCACTGGATTTCACTACAGAGTGGACCAGGCT
Source organism: Homo sapiens (assembly GCF_000001405.40). Classification (NCBI taxonomy): domain Eukaryota; kingdom Metazoa; phylum Chordata; class Mammalia; order Primates; family Hominidae; genus Homo; species Homo sapiens. The sequence continues at coordinate 44,099,683 of NC_000021.9, read as the reverse complement.
GCAGACCCCACTGGATTTCAATACAGATAGAACCAGGCTGCAGACCACACTGGATTTCACTACAGAGTGGACCAGGCTGCAGACCCCACTGGATTTCAATACAGATAGAACCAGGCTGCAGACCCCACTGGATTTCACTACAGAGTGAACCAGGCTGCAGACCCCACTGGATTTCAGCAGCTTTCGCAGGCATTCTTTGGGTCTAATTCTATGGCATTTGTCACATGTGTAGATTCGTGTAACAACCACAGCGGCCCTGGCCCAGAACTCTCCATTACCACAGAGGACGGCCTCCTGCTGCCTCCCACTGCTCCGTGGAACACTGACCCGCTCTCCTTCTGAGGCTGGCATTTTGAGGATGTCATTTAGAAATGGAATCACACAGTACACCTCCTTATAGGACTGGCGTTTTTCTCTTAGTATAATGCCCTTGAGATCCAACCACAGCACTGCGTGTGTCAACAGTCCCTTCTGTTTCACTGCTGAGGAGGAATCAGATGTGCCAGTTTAACCGCTCTCGAGCTGAAGGACGTTTGAGTTATTTCCATTCTTGAGTGCTTGTGTTCTTGACATTCTCTGGGTCTCTGCTGCAGAATGACAGCTGGCTCAGGGAAAGCACACGGGGAGCGCTCGGTGCTGCGAGCTGAAATAGCCGCTGTTTTCACAGAACGCCCTTTTCACTTGCAAGAGCGCTGGGGAAGCTAGTTATTCAGTGTTGGGTATTTGGTAGACGTCTGATTAAAAATGAATGATGTAAGCCTGTCACTTCAAAGAAAACAACACGACTATTTGCTGCCAATGATGCCATCTGAGACTTTAAGCAAAAATCAGAATTTTGGAAAACTTACACTTGCCACTGTGAGCTTGAAAGAGTTCTGATGCTCCAAGCCCTCCCTGAGAGATCACAAATGCAGATTTTAAAAAAATATTGTCAAACGAAAGGTGCCCACATTTGGAAGATCTGCACAACTCAGGAAACCATGTTTCCCACATGACTAATGGCACAGGGTGTAACGCTATGATGCCTGGGTAAAAGAGCCATTCAAAATGCAAGATAGGCTGAGTGCAGTGCCTCACACCTGTAATCCCAACACTCTGGGAGGCCAAGGCGGGAGGACTGCTTGAGCCCATGGGTTCGAGACCACCTACCTTCATACATAAGCTTTGTCGAAAAATGCTCATCAGATTCAGTCAGTGCTTCATCTTTATCCACCTCCAAGAGGTCTGAGAGCCTCGTGATCAAAACCTCCAGGGAGCAGAGGGAGCCTGTTCTGCAATACTCCATTCCCGAAGGGGGAAAGATCTCAGCCTTCACGTTGTATAATGTCTGGGCAGGAAAGGGAGAGAATAGAAAGGAAATGTACCTAAGTGGCCTCAAGAAATGCAACTAGAGGAAAAAGCAGAGCTGCCCACAGACCCTGGAGAGCTGAGGATAGACACCTATCTGCTCGGCTGGCCTTAGAGCAACTGTCGCCACTCACTCTCAATAATTCCCACTGGAGATGCAATGTTTTCGGAAGTCCTACACTCCGAACCTTAACATCCTTCTTTAAATTATGAACATTTTCAACCACAGGAAGAAAGGATAGCACAGAGCCCTTCCAGCCGCCTATCACCCAGATCCTGAGATCTCAGCATCTTGCTGCCTCAGCATCCTCTTATCAAGCCATGGACATTTCTGTATTTGCCTGAGGTAATTTAAAGCGAATTTCAGGCCAGGCATGGTGGCTCACGCCTGTAATCCCAGCACTTTGGGAGGCCGAGGTGGGCAGATCACTTGAGGTCAGGAGTTCGAGACCAGCCTGGGCAACATGGTGAAACCCCGTCTCTACTAAAAATACAAAAATTAGCCGGGTACAGTGGCAGGTGCCTGTAATCCCAGCTACTTGGATTACTTAGCAGGAGATTCCCTTGAACCCAAGAGGCAAAGGTTGCAGTGAGCTGAGATCGCACCACTGCACTGTAGCCTGGGTGACAGAGCAAGACTCTTGTCTAAAAAAATAAAATAAAATAAAAAAATAAAGCAAATTTCAGACAACCTGTTATTTTGCCCCATCTGCTTCAGTATGCATTACTAAACACTAAGGCCTTTTTCTTACCAAAACACAATGCTATTATTACAACTAGCAAAAGCAACAGGAATTCCTTGGTATAACCCAATTCAGTCCATAATCTACTTTGTCCGTGTTTTCTTTCCATAATCAACCTATTCTCGGTGGCTATTCAAACATGCTTAACATTCTACCACCACCCATGACAAACGATCAAAACACATCTGCCACTGCCAAGATGAAAAAGGGCTCATGCACTACAACCTGGCAGTTCCACTTCTGAGGGGAAGCGTTGTGTGTGCGCGCGAGCGTGTGTAATACAGTATAGCTTGACTTAAAAAGTGTTCTATTGGCATTGTAAAATGTTCAAAGAAGAGATTTCAGTATATTAAGAAGCATTTGTCTGGAGTCTGAGGCCAAGATGAAGCCGTTTTATGGGAGTTCACAGCCTAAACAGCAGTCCCAAGAGCGGCCTTTCTAGGTGATCTCCTACCAAATGCCCAATTACCTCTGTTCGGACATGGGACAAACTCCCACCAGTCTCAAGAGGGGCCATGCTGGGACTTCCTGGGGCTCTCAAGCCACAGGGCAGAAAAGATCCCAAATACACAGATGCAAAAGTGCCAGCCGTGGGCCCGGGTGCCCGTAGGTCCTGGGAACTGAAGCAGTAGAACACTGTGCTAGAGGCCCACTGAAATACCTCCTCCTCAGAAGCTTCTGGCTGGGGCACAGTCTGAATGTTTCTGAATCCAGCAAAGAATGCAGATTTGCCTCAGGGCTTGAAGGACACCCAGAGTTGCAGTAGGACACAGTGGGGTGTGATGAGACCTGCGTGTGCCTGAACGCTGCTCTGGGCTGCATCTGGGAAGGAGAGTGGCTGGGGGAAAGCACAGCCCAAGGCGAGCAGCAGGGGCCTCACCTGGCGGCACCTGGAGCTCAGGCACAGGGACCAGAACCGCAGAGCCTCTTCAGAGAGACACGCGAGCACTGACGGCCAGCTGGAATCTGGCAAGGGGGCCAGGGCCACCCTGCAGGGAGGAAAGCATCGTCATGACAGATGGGATAGGGACACCTGCTGGGTCATTTGAAAAGAACAAATTTGGACCCTACCTCTCACCATACACAGAAATTAAGTCAAAGTAGATCACAGACCTAAATGCAAGTGCTCAAATTACGAACATCTTGGAAGGAAATGCAAGAGAAAATCTTTTTGACCAAAGGCAATGATTTTCTAGGTCCAAAGCAAAAAATTTAAGCAATAAAAGAGAGAGTTGAATTGGATTTCATCAAAATTTAACTTTGGTGCTTCAAAAGACAACAAATGGAAGAAAATACTTGCAAATCATATATAAGGACCTGGTACCTAGGATATATAAAGAACTTACAATTCAATAATAAAAAACAAATAACCCTATTTAAACATGGGGAAAGGATCTGAACAGACATCCTTCCAAAGAAGGCAGAAAAATGGGCCACACGCCCACGAGCCGCAGCACATCACCAGCCACTGGGGAAACGCCTGCCAATTGGGACAGCCACAACCAAAAACACAGTGAGACAAGTGCTGGCAGGACACACAGAAGCTGGGACTCTCTGGGTCCCAGCTGGAATCCACTATGTTGCTGGTGGGAATGTAGAGCCCTCTGGAAAAAGTTGGCAGTTGCTCAAAAAGCTAACCACAGAGTTACCCTATGACCCAGAAATTCCACTCAGGTCTTTACCAGGAGAATTGAATAGATACAGCAACATACAAACCCGTACTTTGGGCCAGGCACGGCGGCTCATGCTTGTTATCCCAGCACTCTGGGAGGCCAAGCGGGGTGGATCATGAGGTCAGGAGTTCAAGACCAGCCTGGCCAAGATGGTGAAACCCCATCTCTACTAAAAATACAAAAAATTAGCCAGGCGTGGTGGCACAGCACATGCCTGTTATCCCAGCTACTCCGGAGACTGAGGCAGATAATTGCTTAAACCTAGAGGGGCGGAGGTTGCAGTGAGCCGAGATCGCGCCACTGCACTCCAGCCTGGGCGACACAGCGAGTCTCTGTCTCAAAAAAACAAAACAAAACAAAAAACAAAAAAAAACCCATACTTTAGCCGGGCACAGTGGCTCACACCTGTAATCCCAGCACTTTGGGAGGCCAAGGTAGGTGGATCACCTGAGGTAGAGAGTTTGAGACCAGCCTGATCAACATGGAGAAACACCGCCTCTACAAAAAATTAGCCAGGCGTGGTGGTGCATGCCTGTAATCCCAGCTACGCAGGAGGCTGAGGCAGGAGAATCGCTTGAACCTGGGAGGCAGAGGTTGTGGTGAGCCGAGATCGTGCCATTGCACTCCAGCCTGGGCAACAAGTGTGAAACTCCGTCTCGAAAATAAATAAATAAATAAATAAATAAATAAAATAAAATAAAAATAATTAGCCAGGTGTGGTGACACGTGCCTGTGGTCCCAGCTACTTGGCAGGCTGAGGTGGGAAGATAATGAGCCCAGAAGGTCCAGGCTGCAGTGAGCTATGATTGTGCCACTGCACTCCAGCCTGGGCAACAGAGTGAGACCTTGTCTCATAAATAAATAATTTGTTTATATATAAATTATTATTATAATATATACTATTATTTGATTTAATTAAATTATTTAATAATTTGTGGTTTTATTTATTCATTTAAATTTATTTAAGGAGAGTTATATAAAACATGAAGGTCAAAACAATTTGTCTTGGATGGAAGAAGATAGAAAAAAACTGCTAATATCAAAACTATAAAGACAAACACTTCAAATAAACATTGTTTGATAATTTCAAATAGTAAAGAGAAGAAAAGAAAGTATCACAAAATTGCAAAACATTAAGTCAAATCATCTCCCTAAAGGAACACAGCACACACCTGTATCTACTCACCTAGCTCAAGGCTACTCTTCATTCCACACTCAAATTGGCTTCTACCAAATGATGCACAAGTTCTAAGAAAATCTTCACAATACTCAGCTAGCAGGTTTTCATATGTTTTCAGCTTTTCTTTGAAAAACTAGAGATATGCCTTAGAAAGCAATGCCCCTGAAGATGAAATGACTCCAAGAAATATTTCCAGGGAGTTACTAAGTCAACATGAGAAAGGGAAAAAGATAGAAGAAAAAAGGAATCTTTGGGCTTTCCAAATGACAAACACTCCTCTTAGAGATGCCCCCAGGAGTGTGGGCATCTCAGATGTGTCACTTGAGAAGGACCTGGGGTTCTAAAATAAAGACAGTCAATGATTCAACTACCCCAACAACTGTTTTTCTCCAGCTGCTCCTTCATTATGTTGACAGAAGCTGTCTATTCAGTTCTTCAGATTATAAAGAACATAATGCCATCTTTCATTTTTTCACCCCCACCCTCCCAAAATAATACATCACTTACAAAAAAATTTTCCACTTTAAATTCATAAGTATACGGCTTTAAGGAGATAGACAGCTGTTCCTCAGAAGCTGGGGAAAATCCAACAGAGAACCGGCAATGCAGAGAAGGGGGAGGCTCTTCTGTCCACTTGAGTTCCCAGACGAAGAACACCGACTGCTTGCTGTAGATGGGCTGGAAAGAGAGTTGGGGGTCACTGCTCACACAGCACCATAACCGCAAAGAGGACACAGACACTGCAGCGAAACACACGCCATGCGAAGGGTGCTGAGCAGACACCATGGGCAGGCCCCGCCTCACAGCACGCCTATGCATGCTGCTTTAGGCCCCACAGCACCTGTCCCTGCCCTGACTCCCTTTGCCTGGCCTTGTCCCAGCAGAAGATTGTACAAAATTGGTAAATCTTTAACTTTTTATGATACCATAAGTTTTATATCATATGAGATCATTAAAAAGTAGCTTAATTTTTTTTTCTTTTTGAAATGGAGTCTCGCTTTGTCGCCCAGGCTGGAGTGCAGTGATAGGATCTCGGCTCACTGCAACCTCCACCTCCTGGGTTCAAGTGATTCTTCCGCATCAGCCTCCCGAGTAGCTGGGACTACAGATGCACGCCGCCATGCCCAGCTCATTTTTTGTATTCTAGTAGAGACAGGGTTTCACCGTGTTGCCCAGGCTGGTCTTGAATTCCTGAGCTCAGGCAATCCACCTGCCTCGGCCTCCCAAAGTGCTGGGATTACAGGTGTGAGCCACCACGCCCCGCTGATTTTTTTTTTCCCTTTTTTAGAGACAGGGTCTCACTCTGTCACCCAGGCTGGAGTGCTGTGGTGTGATCACAGCTCATTGCAGCCCAACCTCCCAGGTTCAAGAGATCTTCTCACCTCAGCTTCCTGGGTAGCTGGGAATCCAGGTGTGTGCCACCATGCCTGACTAATTTTTGTATTTGTAGAGATGGGGTTTGCCACGTTGCTCAGGCTGGTCTCAAACTCCTGAGCTCAAGTGATCCACCCATCTGGGCCTCCCAAAGTGTTGGGATCACAGGTGTGAGCCACCATGCCCAAAGGATATTAATTAATATATAGCATATCCCATGCAGCTCCAAAACAGGGGAATATATCATCAATTAATTAAAGAGTACATCTTGGCTAGAGGTGGTGGCTCATGGCTATAATCCCAACACTTTAGGAGGCCAAGGTGGGTGGTTCACCTGAGGCCAAGAGTTGAAGACCAGCCTGACCAACATGGTGAAACCACGTCTCTATTAAAAATACAAAAATTAGCTGGGCGTGTTGGCGGGTGCCTGTAATCCCAGCTACTCAGGAGGCTGAGACAGGAGAATCGCTTGAACCCAGGAGGCAGAGGTTGCAGTGAGGCAAGATCACACGATTGCATTCCAGCCTGGGCGACAAGAACGAAACTCCATCTCAAAAAAAGATAAATAAAAATTTAAAAAATAAGATAAAAAGTAATCTTTACATCCAGCCAATTATTTTATATTTAAATTATTTTAGGAACCAGCACAACCTAATGCAGGGGCTGAACACCGCTATTACATGTAAAGTCCACACCTAAAAGCACAGTGATGAGCCCCCAGTGATATCTGAAAGAGCTAAAGGATTAGTGGGGGCAAATCCTTTGAAAATGCTGAGATTCAGACATCCATTAAGGAAGCCTTTGATCTCTAAACACTCAGCATTTACTGCCTAAAAACACACGTGAAAGATAAACGGAAAAAGCAAGTTCAAGATTCATCCAGGCAGCGAGCCATAAACAGAAAAAGCAAGGTCCAGATGCAGGCACAAGCATGGCTCTTTTACAAAGGCACCAAGGTGTCGGGCACCATCGCTCTGGCACTGGCAGGCATCAGGCTCTGGGCAGAGTGGAGCAGTGCCCATGCAATCAACAGTGCGTTCAAACAGAAGCTTGGATCTGCACACGTCTACGCATAGAGTGGGACCAGTTTCAGATTTAATTCTTCTAAAAAGAAGAATTCATCCATCCAGCCACCCGCTTACTCAGGAGCAAGCCTCGATCCAGCCTCAGGGCAGCCGGAGGAGCTGCACAGGAGCCTTTACTCATCAGCAGTGCAGCTGTTCTATCTAAAGGCTCAGTCGCAACACATACTACATCATTTCCGTACACTCTGGTTCTCTGTTGAGAAGTTTATGCTCAGGTCTACACAATGTTTACCTGCTGGGACTGCGTGTTCAGTGGTACTAGTTGCAGGTCGGTACTATCACCGGTATCTACAAGATAACTATCTGACAGCTGAAAGTCAAGTTCTGACAAATTCTGGACACAAACTTGAACATATTTCCTAAAGTGGAAAAACAAAAAGTATTATTTTGATATGTAAGAACTTTATTAAATATATCTTAGCTTTGTTAAGGAGACCCTCTCTGCCTGGGGAATCAAAAAAGCAACAAAGCAAAGTAAGCTAAGTTGTTGCATAAGTTTCCCTTCAGATTTCACACCGAAAAGTGCCAGAAAATAAACCTTTTTGGCCGGGCACGGTGGCTCACGCCTGTAATCCCAGCACTTTGGGAGGCCGAGGTGGGCAGATTATGAGGTCAGGAGATTGAGACCATCCTGGCCAACATGGTGAAACCCCATCTCTACTAAAAATATAAAAATTAGCCAGACGTGGTGGCACGTGTCTGTAATCCCAGCTGCTCGGGAGGCTGAGGCACGAGCATTGCTTGAACCTGGGAGGTGGAGGTTGCAGTGAGCTGAGATCACGCCACTGCACTCCAGCCTGGTGACAGGGCGAGACTCCATCTCAAAAAAATAACAAATAAAAATAAATAAAAAAAGTTTTTAAAGAGGCAAGTTCTGTGAGGCAATGGAAGAAAGAATATAGTTTCTGACCAGCCTTATTAAGTGATCATGGCTGGTCACCCTCACTGGCCTTTGGGGAGCCACGGGGAGACAGCAGCAGCCCTCCTCATTACAGGTGAAGACTCTCCATTGAGAGATGATAGGCGGGGCTTATATCCATTTCCATTACATGCAAAACTTTGAAAATATTAATAATAGTTACTATTTTTTGAGACAGAGTCTTGCTCTTGTCGCCCAGGCTGGGGTGCAATGGCACGATCTCAGCTCACTGCAACCTCTGCCTCCCAGGTTCAAGTGATTCTCCTGCCTCAGCCTCCCGAGTAGCTGGGATTACAGGCGCCCGCCACCATGCCCGGCTAATTTTTGTATTTTTAGTAGAGACGGGGTTTCACTATGTTGGTCAGGCTGGTCTTGAACTCCCGACCTCGTGATCCGCCTGCCTCGGCCTCCCAAAGTGCTGGGATTACAGGCATGAGCCACCACGCCCGGCTGAAAAATAATTTTTTAATAAGGTTCTTTTAGAGATTATTGATGTTTTTAACTATTAATATCTACAGTTCCCTTTGCTGTGATTTGAAGGGGAAAAAAGCTGCTAGTATAATGTTCCATTCTAAACATGGGTCTGACGTTTTTGTTTCCAAATTATCCACACATCATCAATGGATAAAAAGTTGTGGTGAGAGGCCAGGCTAGCATCCCGAGCCCATTGATCAACGCTAGCACCGTCACTAAGGTAGGACACCTGGACACCGTGGGCCTCCCGGTGCAGTCAACAGGAAGCACACAGCCCCGCCTGCCTCAAAGCAGAACTGGAGTCTACTCAAGCCTTTAGGGCAGCTGTTTTCCACTGGGGCACGTCCGCCCCACCCAGAGGACACTGGGCAGTGTCTACAGACATCTGTGGCTGCCACACCTGCAGGTGGGGAGTGCTACTGGCATCTCATGGGAGAGCCTGGGGTGCTGCTCAACACCCTACAGCACACAGGAAAGCCCCTACAACAGAGTTATCTAGCCCAAAATGTCACTAATGCTGAGCTTAAAAGCTCCTGTTCTAGAGGTTGCAGGCAATTGACAAGAAATACAGGGACAGGAGAACTAGTTAACAAATCCAGCCAGATCCAGAAAGGCGGGCGTCCAGAGGAAACCTGGCCTGCAAGTGAACAAGTCGATGGCTTGAAAACAGGGAAGAAAGGATGAACAGAGATCTAGTGGTCTGATGGAGATTTTGGACCCCAAGTCACACAAAGCAACCATAAAAGGTCATTTTCAGACAGTTGGGAAAACCTGAATATGAACTGGATGTCACAGGACACCAGGGAATTGTGGATTTTAAGACACAAACAATGGCCTTGTGGTCACATAAGAAGACATCCTTGGTCACCACGAAGGCCAGTTTTGAACATTAGGAACCTCCACTTAGAAGAGTCTGGGGAAAGAAGCCAGGGCCCGCACGCTACGCCTCCGTTACCGTGTTCCTGAGGACAGGAGGCTGTGTGTGGTCCTGAAGGGTACGCTGAAGGTCAGTGCGATGACTGTGGAGTAGATGGACCACGGGCAGTCAATCGACACCTGAGGAGGAAGCACAAAGACACTCTCAGACCACTCGCCGACGGACAGCACAGCCACCACCACTGCTGCCCAGACTCACCTGCAGTGCCCGCCCACGCCCTAGACATTTTATTATGGCTTCAACCACTCATTATCCAGGAAGCAAAGCCTTACCCAACACATACACAAACCAACGAGAAACAGGAAGCTATGCATACAGACAAGAGAAACGAACGCAGAACTGGCAAGACATGCACACATCACCAGAGTCACCTCAACGGCGGAAGAGCACAGCCGTCCTCTAAGCAGCAGACCCACCTGCTGCTCCCATACACGCAGGGCCGCGGAGCCATGCATGTTGCAATGTGCACAGGGTTTTGACAAAGTGCTTTCAGTCATGTATTTCCAGATGACATTAGCCAATCAGTAACTACTCCATAGTTAATGAATTATCTAAGCATTTAATCCATGTGAGGCTGAATATGTAACTGAAAACCAAATCAGTTTAGGGGCACAGTGAGGACAAAGCTATTACATCCCTTAAGGGCAGGAAGGAAGCAAGTCTCAAGCCTTATTCCCCACAGGGAAGAGGTGAATACCCCAGCACACAGCGTGCGTGCCGCCAGTGCCAGGGAAGAGAGGATAACACGGCACATAGCACAGGTGCCACCAGCGCCAGGGAAGAGAGGATAACACAGCACACAGCACAGGTGCCACCAGCGCCAGGGAAGAGAGGATAACACGGCACATAGCACAGGTGCCACCAGCGCCAGGGAAGAGAGGATAACACGGCACATAGCACAGGTGCCACCAGCGCCAGGGAAGAGCGGGGTAACACGGCACACAGCACAGGTGCCGCCAGTGCCAGGGAAAAGAGGATAACACGGCACACAGCACAGGTGCCGCCAGCGCCAGAGAAGAGTGGGATAACACGGCACACAGCACAGGTGCCGCCAGCGCCAGGGAAGAGAGGATAACACGGCACATAGCACAGGTGCCGCCAGTGTCAGGGAAGAGTGGGATAACATGGCACACAGCACAGGTGCCGCCAGCGCCAGGGAAGAGTGGGATAACACGGCACACAGCACAGGTGCCACCAGCGCCAGGGAAGAGCGGGATAACACGGCACATAGCACAGGTGCCACCAGTGCTGCGCGCTCCTGCTGAGCTAAGCGCCACCTTCGTGAATGGTGAACGTCTGTGTGAGTTAAGGGAAAGACACTTCCTCAGGTTCTTCAAAAGCTGAACATTACAACATTCGTCTTCAGGCGTGGACTTGTCTGGTGACTCCGTGCTTTGGAAAGACGGCATGCCTTGCCCTTTGCCCCCGCTGCTCTTGGGCGTATACTGCGGCCCCTGGGCTGTTTCAGGGCCCTCAGGATTGATTTCTGGGCTACGAGACTTGGGCACACCCTGAGTAACATGATGCAGCGACACATTCCATGAGCTGATATCCTGTGGCTCTGGGACCGAAATCACATCTTTCTCAAGTAACTGTCAGTAAGTACCAGCACCAAAGCCTAAAATGAGACAGCTCCTCCGTGGCTGAGCTTATGAGTTTCAGTGGACAGACACCGAGGCACACACGACACAGACCTCCTCTGGCCTCGTCACCGGTCTAATGGACATGACCCAAGTTTTACGCCCCTCATGCCTAAGCCGGCCCTAACCTCTTACAGCAAACTCCCTGGCCCCTGGAACTGAGAGGGAAAGGTAGAGCTGGCTTGTCTCTGCCCTTGCAAAAAATGCACCCCTTATCTAAGAAAGGGTGATTCACAGACAGACAGAACTGCTAAACACATGCCCAGGGCATCGGGAATCAGAAGGAGCCAGGCTAACAGCAGGCATCGCTACATCGCCTTTCCCAGCAGGCAGGCGGGCGGCGGACGCCCCACAAGCTAAGCTCCTCCACTGTCCCTACTCACTTTGTGGTCTGTGGTAACCATGCAGCGGCCAGTTCTCTGTTTGTCCTTATGCTTCCTGTGGGGCTCTGCCATCCCCAGCATGTCACTCTCCCCTCCGAGTGCTGGGGCTGAAGGTAAAGAGAGAACTTCCAGTTCAAATTCGATCACGTGGTACGCAGGCGCAACAGGCAGACTGATGCTCGTGACCTTGTCGGAGGACTGAATCCGGAGCGCGGCCTCAGAAGACTGTTCTACGAAGGACAGAAAAAGTCACTTCAAAGCTGTTCCCTCGGTTTCACTTGTCCTTTTCCTTACAGCAGGTGATGGCCCAGCAGTGAGGCCACTGCTCAACCTCTCCCGCTCCTGCGCACCTGGCAGGCAAACCCAAGAACAAGGCCCCTAGGACAGAGCAGCCCTGTGTGAAAGCCGGCAGGCAGGCGCCCAGACCCATCATTGATCTCAATCTGAAGAGAGGAAAAGGGCATTTCCCACGGGGCCCACCCAAGTCCTGTGTAGGTCCCTGCATGACTTTCTCCCGTTCCAGCTCATCCGCAGATCCACCCCCACCCCAGGGGAGCAGGGTCCTCCCCTTCCCCTTCCTCGTGGCTGGGAGGATGGGAGTGCTCAGGGCTCTCAACAGCACCTGCAAGGGCTGCTCTGCTTTTGCTTCTCGGGAGCAGGGCCAGCCCAAGGGGGACAGGGTCTGGCAGGCATCACCATGGAACGTGACCCCAGCCGTGACCCCCATCTCCTAATCCTCAGCCAGACAAGCACTGCTCGGCCACTCAGCGTGTGAACCACTCTCAGTTTATCACCTCAGATGGGACCCCAGCACAGGCATCAGGCCGCAGGGCTCCTATGGAACACGGACTCCAGACACTGTTGAGGGGCGCTCAGCAGGATGGCAGCAAGGCCAGGCTCACCCTCACACCCACACAGTGCAGGGCAAGGTGGGCATCCTCCTTGGGCCTGGGTGGGCGGCACCTCACCTCTCGTGTTGGAGTAGACCACAGCCCTGCTCTCCGCCTGGCACAGGATGAGCATGGCTTCGGCATTGCTAAGCTGCAGGCTGTCTCCATTCTTTATCGTATAATGGCCGGTAGTGACAGTGAACTTGACTCTCTGAGGAATGCCTGCCAGAAGGCTATCTAAAGGAAAAGAGATCGTGGCTCAGCACCGCTGCCAACCGGAAGACAGCATCTCAGGGCCCGCAATGGGGTGAAAGGGGCTCTATTTCTTTTACTATGAAAGATTTGCTCCTTTGGGATCTCCATGAATTCCTTCTACTTCCATTCCCTTCTGCCCTAACTTTTCATCTCAATGATGTGGACTACAGGGTTGAAGGAGAACCTTGCTGGGGAAAAAAGAATCCTGTGAGTCAAGGAGTCTTATACCCATCTTGGTTCAGCAAGTCAGGGATTATGATCATGACTACGTCTCTGAGGGTCACAAAATTTGCCTGCCCATTAGTAGTAGAAGAGAATCACATAATGAGGCTTAAGAAGAGACTGTAAAGAAAACTTGACTGTGCTGGTGCTGCTCAAATATTCAAAACCTTCTCTGGATTTTTCAGCTTCAGGCCACGGGCTTTTGGGTTAAGAACAGTCAGCAGTCAGGTGGCTCCCCCTCACTCCAAGACAGCAATGAGAGGCAGGAGTGAGCTGAGGCCTCTGAGAATCCTGCTGCAGGGAAGACAGAAGGCAGGCAAGATACCAGGACCGGGGGGAGAGTGGACAGAGACAGGGGACACTAGGCAGGAAGCAGGAGCCAGGCCATGAGCCTGGCACTGCAGCCGCTGGGCCATGGGGAGGGCAGGGCCTGCTGGCTGGTGCTTCGGCTCCCCTGCGGGAATCGAGTTCAGCTTCTCTACACAATGTTCCAATGGAAGAATCACTGGAGAGACTGACTGCTGTGTCCCACATCTGACAGCCTTTGCTGGTGGCCACACAAGAGGCACAAATGCAGAAAAATAGGGGGAATGGGGGAATAACAGAAAAATGCCCTTTGTGATTTTTTTCCACGTAGAAGAAACAGGCAAATAAATAAATCGTTGCTAGCCCGAACAAAGGAGACATTCACTCACTCTTGTTCAGCTGCCACATGTTCTTCAATCATTTGTTTATAGCAACTCCTTCCAATTTTAGAACTTATCAGAAAGGACAATAGCTTTGAATTTCTCAAATGCCATGCCAGACGGACAAGTTTAATCAACCCTTTCAAAGGAAAACTTTTTTTTTTTTTAAGAGATGGAGTTTTGTTCTGTCACCCACGCTGGAGAACAGTGGCGCAATCACAGCTCCCTGAGGCCTCAAACTCCTGGGCTCAGGAGGCTGAGGCAGGAGCCTCAGCTGGGGCTCCAGCCTGTAGCTAGGACTAGAGGCCGTGGCGCACGACTACACCCAGCTAATTTACTTCATTTTTTTATTTTGCAGAGATGGGGTTTTGTCATCCTGCCCCGACTGGCTTACCCATGCTGGTCTCAAAGCCTTGGCCTCCCAAAGTGCTGGGATCTGAGTATAGATCCTAACTAAATCTAGTGTTTAGCATTTGAAACGTACTTCTAAGCAGGAAATTATATACATATTTATGAAACCCTGTGGTAGACATTAGCTGCTTCTTGGCCTAATGTGACACTGTAAAATACACATGTAGTTTTCAACCCCATTTCCAGGCATACTAGCTCCCAAATTCCTTAGAATCTCCAAAGTGATGTCTTTTTGTAGGCTAATGAGTTGATTGGAGGCTGGCAGCTCCAAGGTAGCTTCAAGATGAGGACTGGTCACCAGAATGACCAGGGCAGGATTAGAGGGTCGGGCCTTTCAGCAGTGGCACCCAACCTCCAGGGAGGAAAGAGGGGCTGAAGGTCGAGTTGCTCATCAGTGGCCAGTGGTGTAATCGATCATGCCTGTGTAATGTCACTTCCATAAAAACCAAAGGACAGGGTCTGGAGAGCTTTCAGGCAGCTGAACACATGGAGGTTCCTGGAGGGTGGCGCCCAGGGAGGGCGTGGAAGCTCTGCACCCCTTTCCCCATACCTCACCCTCCACACTTCTTCATCTATATCCCTTATAATAATCCAGTCAACCTGTTTCCCTGAGTTCTGTGAGCTGTTCTAACAAATTCATCAAACCCAGAAAGGGGGTTGTGAGAGCCCTGATTTCTAGCTAGTTGGTCAGGAGCACAAGCAAAAGAACCCTGGGCTGGTGGCTGGCATGGGAAGGGGGGGACTGTCTTGGGGACTGAGCCCTCACCCTGTGGTGTCTGACGCCAGCTCCAGTAGACAGGGTCAGAACTGAATTGCAGGACCGACTGCTTGCTTGCTGGCAGGGGGAAATCCCTGCACATTTGGGCCCAGAAGTCCTCTGCATTGACCATTAGGTTGAGTGAGCCAATAGAAAAAAATACCTTGAGTTTCTTTTTTCCACTCTCAGAGCTAATTCTTCTGTGTTTCTTATTTTCAGATACACCATGTTTATTAAACATGAAAAAGCAATTACAGGAAAGCAAACATTCAGATAAACAAAAGAGGCAGTCAGCTAGTTCCCAGGCAAAATTTCCATTATGTTACCCAAAATATCTCTTAAAGGCAGACACAGCTAAAACTTATGAGAAGCCTGGCATCTCAGCAGGTCTCCTCAGAACTGCCCCAGCAGCACGCCTCCTCAAAGGCTGGGGACCCCACTCACCAGCCAGCGGCTCCACGTGCAGCTGGGGCTCCTGTGAGTACACGTCGTACTGCACAATGGGGTAGATGTGAGGGAGGACGAACCACACGGAGCCCACCGAGGCGCACAGCTGCCTGAGTGTATACGTTCCAGGTTCCTTGGCCTAGAGTCAAAGAATCAGGCATTTGAAACCACGTCACCCAGTTTTGCAGTTAGCTTCCTGCGGTAGCGCGGTGCAGCGGTCTCTCTGAACTCCAGAAAGGCCTGTACTTCTTTCCCTCTTGTACCCCCTGCTCTTGTGCCTAAACCTCTAAGCTTGGGCTCTTCACAAGGCCCTCAGAATCTCTCAATTCGTGATTTTCTGAGTAACTGATGCTTAAATTTAACTTTAATAAGGTATTTTCAACTTATCTAAACTGTATTTGTGGCATTGTAGAGACATTCAGCACGAGATTTAAGCCCTGCCCTAGACTAAAAAATGTGACAAATAGCTGTACTTTCCACAGGCCAAATCCTGTTGAGTTAGTGGAA